>NC_000017.11:10339595-10491111 GCF_000001405.40 Homo sapiens
GCCTTTATCTTATGAAAGCTGTGGCTCTGATGTGCCTATATACATACACACAATATTTTGAATATGATTTCGTAGTAGGGGTGCCAGATAAGATACAGATGCCCTGCTGAATGTGAATTTCAGATAAACAATGAATACTTTTTTAGAGGAAGTATATTCCAAATATTGCATAGGTCACACTTAGACATTTTTCATTGTTTAACTGAAATTGAAATTTAATAACATTTAATATGGCATTTGGTTTTTAGCATTTTTGTGGTTACATAATAGTTGAACATATTTATGGGGTACACATGATATTTTGATACAAGCGTGAAATGTGCAAAGATCATATCTGCATAATTGGGATATCTGTCACCTCAAACATTTATCATTTCTTTGTGTTGGGTACATCCGGTATTTTTATCTGCTAAATCTGGCAACCCTATTTCAGAGACTACTTTCAGAAGTGATACAGACCATCACTCTTTCCAAACGCACACCCACAGAATTTTGCATTTATCTCAGGGCGTCCTGTTCTGTTCAAATACTTGGCAAGATCTGCTGGTACTCACCAGGAGTCTTGGTCTCATTGGGAATCAGACATCGTACAAAGTGAGGGTGGGTGCTCCTTAAGTTAGTCATCAATTTGTTTAAATTTTCCTGGGACATAAACCAAAACAAGCACATTTAGCAACTGCCATTTCACTGGGGAGAAAAACAAGTGAATATGGAAGCTGCCAAAACACCAACCCTGAACACGGCCGACACGGTCTGGAAAGAGGAGCCCTTCTTCTTCCCGCCCTTCTTGCTTCCTCCGGAGTCGCCTGGAGACAGACACAGAAGAGCGTGTTAGATGCATCCCAGAGGACCCAGCAGTGGGCTTCCTGAACCACCTGTTCCCAGCCCCGAGTTCTGGTTTCCTTTTGACATAAGAGACTTGAGGTTTTGTTTGTTTGTTTTAGACGGAGTGTTGCTCTGTTGTCCAGGCTGGAGTGCAATGGCACCATCTCAACTCACTGCAACCTCCACCTCCCGGGTTCAAGCCATTCTCTTGCCTCAGCCTCCCAAGTAGCTGAGACTACAGGCGTGTGCTACCATGCCTGGCTAATTTTTGTATTTTTAGTAGAGATGAGATTTCACCATGTTGGCCAGGCTAGTCTCGAACTCCTGACTTTGGCCTCCCAAAGTCCTGGGATTATAGGCATGAGCCACCTTGCCTGGCCTGTTTGTTTTTAAAATGCCCCCAAACTACCCAGGATTAAGAACCCTCAGCTTTATCATTGTGGGAATGGGGTGGGAATGGGGTGTGGATAGCATTTAACTGGGAGTATAACTTAAACTCTCAGTAGAAAAGGGGAGTCCTTTCCTTTAGAAATCAGAGCTGAAAGCAAACTGAATAATTTGCAAGATTGAGATGTCCCTCTTAATGTTTGTAGTTTCTTTTTTTTTTTCATTCTTTTTGTTGTTGTTGTTTGTTTGTTTTAAGATGGAGTCTCGCTGCGATGCCCAGGCTGGAGTGCAATGGTGCAATCTTGGCTCACTGCAACCTTCGTTTCCCAGGTTTAAGCAATTCTCCTGCCTCAGCCTCCCAAGTATCTGGGACTACAGGCGAGCGTCACCATGCCTGGCTAATTTTTGTATTTTTAGTAGAGATGTTTAGTAGAGAGTTTCACCATATTGGCCAGGCTGGTCTTGAACTCCTGACCTCAAGGGATCCGCCCACCTTGGCCTCTCAAAGTGCTGGGATTACAGGCGTGAGCCACCGTGCCTGGCAATGTTTGTAGTTTCTTTCATGAATTTACCTCCTTTTATTCTTTAATCCCTGCTTATCTCTAAAGAGTAAGTAACTGAAAGTAATAAAACGGAATTTTCTCAACAATATTTTATAAGTTGATTTCTTTTTCTTTCCTACAGGAAACAACCCAATTTGCCATCTTAATTTGGAGTCTACTTTTTCTGAATGACTCAGTTTTCTCTGATACTTAATCAAGATGCAGCCTTGGGGGAAAATGTCATGTCCCAGTCTCCCCCATGTTCCTTTCCCTTCATCCCACTTTGTCCCCGGGGTCTAGCATGACTGTGTGTTTGGATTGGGGAAGTGAAGGCAGGAAAGTCGCTTCCCCAAATCCGCATCCACACAGGGTCTTATGTTAGAGTTGATGTTATCTCTAGGCGAGGTTATGCAATGTAGTTACAGAGACATTGTGATTAGATTCAAAGAAAATGATTTTCATCATTGAAGTTTACGCATGTGCCCATTTCCTATTTATTACATTCCCTGGCCCAGAGGACATTAGGCTTTCATTTTTAAAAAATGATCTCATTATCTAATGAATAATTATATTTCATATATTTTATTAATTTATTAAATGTATGCATTTAAAATGGCATATAATGTTAAAACTCTATGTTGGCTACTATTTAAAAGTATATTTACTGGTAATCTTAAAAAGTGTTACTGGCTTGTGTTACTTATTTATTTGTTTGAGATAGGGTCTCACTCTGTCATCCGGGCTGGAGTACAGTGGCCCAATCATGGCTCGCTGCAATTTCAGCCACCCAATCTCATGTGATCCTCCCAGCTCAGGTTCCCAAGTAGCTGGACTACAGGTGTGCACCACCACTTTTGGCTAATTATTTTATTTTATCTTATTTTATTTTGTTTTAGAGACAGGATCTCTATGTTGCCCACACTGGTCTTGAACTCCTGGCCTCAAATGATCCTTCTGCCTCAGCGTCCCAAAGTGTTGGGATTACAGGTGTAAGCCACCACGCCTGGCCCCTGTGTAACCACTCTGGAAAAGAGTTCAGAAGTTACTCAAAATTTTGAACACAGTTATCATATGACCCAGCAACTCTACTCCTAGGTACCGTATATATATACCGTGTATACCCAAAAGAATTGCCAATATATATTCACATATAAACTTCTATACAAATGTTCATAGCAACATCATGCACAGTAGCCAGAAAGTTCATCGGCTGATGAATGTGCAGACAAAATGTGATATATTCATACAATGAACTATTATTTGTCCATAAGAAAGAACAAAGTCCTGATACATGCTACAACAGGGCCAGACCTTGAGAACAGTAACCTGAAAGAAGCCAGACACAAAAGAGCATCCAGTATATAATTCCATTCACATGAAATGCCCAGATAGGCAAATCTACAGGGACAGAAAGTTGATGAGTGGTTGCCAGAGGCTAGGGATAGAAATCTGCTCATGGGGACAGGCATGATGGCTCGTGCCTATAATCCCAGCACTTTGGGAGGTCGAGGCGGGTGGATCACAAGGTCAGGAGATCGAGACCATCCTGGCCACCATGATGGAACCCTGTCTCTACTAAAAATACAAAAAATTAGCCGGGCGTGGTGGCGTGCGCCTGTAGTCCCAGCTACTTGGGAGGCTGAGGCAGGGGAATCGCTTGAACCCAGGAGGCAGAGCCTGCAGTGAGCCGAGATTGCACCACTGCACTCCAGCCTGGAGAAAGAGCAAGACTCTGTCTCAAAAAAAAAAAAAAAAAAAAAAATCTGCTCATGGGTTACGGGGGTGTGAAAAATGTTCTCAAATTCCACAGTGGTGATGGTCACACAACATTGTGAATATCCTAAAAACCACTAAATTTTTTTTTTTTTAATAGAGTCTCACTCTGTCACCCAGGCTGGAGGGCAGTGATGCAAACTCCATTCACTGTAACCTCTGCTTCCTAGGTTAAAGCAATTCTCCGGCCTCAGCTGCCTGAGTATCTGGGACTACAGGTATGTGCCACCACACTCGGCTAATTTTTGTATTTTTAGTAGAGATGGGGTTTCACCATGTTGGCCAGGCTGGTCTCAAACTCCTGACCTCAAGTGATCGGCCCCCGCCTTGGCCTCCCAAAGAGCTGGGATTACAGGCCTGAGCCACCATGCCTGGCCAAAACCACTAAATAGATTTAAGGGTGAATTTTATTATATGTGAATTATACCTCAGTAGAAAACTATTAAACAATGTGATGTTGACTATCTTGGCCACTGAGAGGTCCTGTTTACCTCCATAGAGCCCAGTCTCTTACAGAAGAGGAAGAATAAGAGCAGGAGGAAGAAAAATGGAGCTGAAAGAGAAACATCATACTCAGCTGAAGCTCATGTCTGATTACTGGTTCTTCACAAGCAGCTCTGGGTTAGGAGTCATTACATAGAACGTCCCACAGAGGGAAAGAAATGATAGAATTTTACCTGTCTCTGCACCAGCATAGTTGGAAAAAAGGAAGGAGAGAAGCTTCAGCGAAGACTTCTGGTACAGCCCCACCACAGTCTCGTTCAGGGGGTCCTTGTTTTTGTCCAGCCAGCCGGCGATGTTGTAGTCCACGGTGCCGGCATAGTGCACCAGCGAGAAGTGAGCCTCAGCCTTGCCTTTGGCAGGCTTGGGCTTCTGGAAGTTGTTGGATTTTCCAAGATGCTGGTCATACAGCTTGTTCTTGAAGGAGGTGTCTGTTGCCTTGGGGAACATGCACTCCTCTTCCAGGATGGAGAAGATGCCCATAGGCTGGAAAGAGGATAACAGAGTCTACATATAATAGTGCATACCCATGCTTCATGGTCTGGAGAAGCCAAAAAACCTTCTTTGGTGCTTTCACTCTGGTACCAGGAATGCTGGCATGTACGCTCGGTGAGAGCAAGACTCTTGGTCTGTTTGGGGGATGACCAGAAAGTGCTAGGCATAGAGTATGTGCTTAATTAATATTTGCTGAACAAAAGAATATAGGATAAAATTATGTGTGTATAAACCTAGCATACTTTTTTCAATAGGTGTACAAAAAAGTAAAGTTTCATATATAGCCATAAAGTAATGTGAGTAATATTTTGAACAATAATGTCCCAATTTCTCAGTAGCCACCTTAGGAAGATATACTCATTCCAACATGAGCAGTGCTCAAATATTATGGGAATTCCTTTTTAAAAAGTTAATGTCGGCCGGGCGTGGTGGTTCACGTCTGTAATCCCAGTACTTTGGGAGGCTGAGGTGGGTGGATCACAAGGTCAGGAGTTTGAGACCAGCCTGGCCAACATGGTGAAACCCCGTCTCTACAAAAAAAAGAAAAAAAAAATTATCTGGGCGTGGTGGCGGGCACCTGTAGTCCCAACTATTCAGGAGGTGGAGGCAGGAGGATCGCTTGAACCTGGGAGGTGGAGGTTGCAGTGATCCGAGACTGCACCACTGCACTCCAGCCTGGGTGACAGAGCAAGACTCCGTCTCAAAAAAAAAAAAAAAAAAAAAAGTTAATATCTATTCCTGTTTTCATATTAACATCCCTCCAAGAGCCACACTGCTCCATGGTTCCGCCTCCTTGGGTCTTTGGGTAAGTCAAATAGGTAAGAAATGCCACAGTCCTTACTGGGGTTCCATCACATTCTTGGAGATAACTGAGCCCTTGGATTTTAATGACCCGTAAACCTCTTTAAGTGTCAGAACAGATTTAGGACATTCATTCTCTTTGCAAATAGGCATTCAGTTATCTATCTGAAGGCTTGCAGCCTGGGGGCTAGGGGCCCCAATCTGTGAGCAGAAAAGAATCAGAGCAAGAAGGGGAGGGCCCCCAATAAGGAGGAGCTGTCCCAGGCAGCAGTATCTCTCTACCTTCTCGATGAGCTCGATGCAGGCAGCCAGGTCCATTCCGAAGTCAATGAACTCCCACTCGATGCCTTCCTTCTTGTACTCTTCCTGCTCCAGCACGAACATGTGGTGGTTGAAAAACTGTTGCAGTTTCTCATTGGTGAAGTTGATGCACAGCTGCTCCAGGCTGTTGAACTGGGTGATTCAAATACCAAAGAATTTGAGTGAGCTTGGAAAATACATTGGAGATTCAGCAAAGCAGACAAGAAAGTAGAAGGTCACAACTCACATCAAAGATCTCAAAGCCAGCAATGTCCAAGACCCCGATGAAGTACTGCCTGGGCTGCTTGGTGTCCAGCTGCTGGTTGATGCGGGTGACCATCCACAGGAACATCTTCTCGTAGACGGCTTTGGCCAGAGCACCCACCGAATTGGTCACCTTGAAAAAGGATCACCCACTCAACCCTTGAGTTAGTGTTTCTATGGCTGCATTAAGTTGAAACATATGAAATTGACTCGAAAATCAAAAGCTGTTGGCTAGGCGTGGTGGCTCACACCTGTAATCCCAGCACTTTGGGAGGCCAAGGCGGGCGGATCACGAGGTCAGGAGTTCAAGACCATCCTGGCCAACATGGTGAAACCCCGTCTCTACTAAAAATACAAAAATTAGCCAGGTGTGGTGGCAGGCGCCTGTAGTCCCAGCTATTCGGGAGGCTGAGGCAGGAGAATCACTTGAACTTGGGAGGTGGAGGTTGCAGTGAGCCAAGATCGTGCCACTGCACTCCAGCCTGGTGACATAGCGAGACTCTGTCTCAAAAAAAAAAAAAAAAAAAAAACAAAAGAAAAAAAGAAAATCAAAAGCAGTTGAATATTGGCAATTTCAGATCATTCAATGCAATATTAAATATTTTATGAGGTGTTTGCCCAGCTCATGTTGTTCACCTTTCTTTGAGAACTATCCTATTCACAAAGATATTTTTCTAACAACATGGTTATAGCACATGACTCCAGCCCCTGGCCACACTTAATTAGACCAGAGGTGAACACTTGATCCAGATTGGATTAATTGAGTATCTCTCCTAAGAATTTGGAATAGGGATCAAAAGACACTGGTCTCAGTCTCAGGGTGAGGCTGGAAACACAGAGATATAAACTTGGGAGCTATGGGGTGGCCACGGGCAAGAGAGGTCCAGGAAACTTATCTGCCTAGCAAGGACACAACAGAGGAGAGACTCAACAGCCCATGAATCCCAGAGGAGCTGGAGGGAGGCTGCCTGGCTCCAGAGGGCTCTTCACTTTCTAATTCCAGGTCCTCATGGCGTCCAATGGGCACTTAATGATTTGCATTCCTTCAGTTGCCTCTGAAGCCTAAAAATGAACTTCCTCTTAATGTGAAAGCTGATTTCATGTGCATTTCTGATACCTGCAACTGAAGGAGCTTTAAGATAATGGCTCAAATAGCAAAAGATCTCAATCAACTGGATTCAGAGCATCTCCATTACCTGCTGGACATTTTGCCCTTTAGTGACATATTCATTGCCAACCTTCACCCTTGGACAGCACAGGCCCTTCAGCATTTCTGCAGAATTCAGTCCCATCAGGTATCCGGCTTTGTCAGCCACTGAAGGAAGAGAAAAAAATGGCATCATGCAAAAACAGTAGCTGCTAAAGTGTCCAGTCAGCCCCTGGCTTCTCCCAGAAGTGTTTTCTGTAATTTTCTTAAATGTTTTCATGTTGTCATATCTGTACCAGGTCTGGACTTGTTCACTGAAGCTTTAATCCCATATCCAGGGGCCCATGGTTCTCAGGAACTTCCAATTTGCCTCCTAGATGCAGTTTTAACAATAAGATACTCCGTGGCCAATTTTGACCTACTGATATTTCGATTTCATAAAAGAATGTTGATTACAGGCCAGGCACGGTGGTTCATGCCTGTAATCCCAGCGTTTTGGGAGGCTAAGGCGGGTGGATCACCTGAGGTCAGGAGTTCGAGATCAGCCTGGCCAATATGGCCCTGTCTCTACTAAAAATACAAAAATTAGCCAAGCATTGTGGCAAGCGCCTGTAGTCCCAGCTACTTGGGAGGCTGAGGAAGGAGAATCACTTGAACCTAGGAGGCAGAGGTTGCAGTGAGCCAAGATCGTGCCATTGAACTCCAGCCTGGGTGACAAGAGCAAGACTCCGACTCAAAAAAAAAATTAATTAATTACATAGTTATGTTGGAGTCTGACAATACGTTAAAATGTTATATGAGTAAAGGAGCCACCACTTGGACAGTTGACAATATACATGAGGCACCTTCCTAATTTAAGCAAAGTACCATGCTCATAGTTGAAAGAGAAGTACAAAACTTGACCCTCCCTTCAAATGTTTGGAGATGGTCAAAAGCACTTGACTTTTGGCTGTTTCCTACAGTTCATGGGTTATATATTTTCATATATTTCAGCAGACGTTCATTGACTTTGAGAAGGACCTGGGGGCCTGCATTGAGCTCATCAAAAAGGCAGAGAAATGCTGCTCCCCAGGGACTACTTCTTTTTTTTTTTTTTTTTTTTTTTGGAGACAGAGTTTCTCAATGTTGCCCAGGCTGGAGTGCAGTGGCGCGATCTCAGCTCACTGCAAGCTCCGCCTCCTGGGTTCACGCCATTCTCCTGCCTCACCTCCCGAGTAGCTGGGATTACAGGCACCCACCACCAGGCCCGGCTAATTTTTTTTTATTTTAGTAGAGATGGGGTTTCACCATGTTGGCCAGGATGGTCTTGATCTCCTGACCTTGTGATCTGCCCACCTCCCAAAGTGCTGGGATTACAGGTGTGAGCCACCTTGCCCAGCCCCCAGGGATAACTTCTTGGTTGGGACCCTTGCTTCATTGCTGGGTGGGGAGATGAGTTAATAAAAATCTAGGGCAGTCTATGTTAAGTACTTAATCAGAGGCCAGATGCGTGCTTTACTCTCTCCTCGAATTATCTCCTTTTCTTGCTTTGCCCATTCAGGTAGATGGTACCATTATTCTTCTTCTTGTCATTTAAACTTGAAAGGGGTGATACATCCTTCTCTCTCTTGCCCCTGACATTCCTTTGTTCAGACAGGCACCAAGTCCTGCTTATTTCACTCTCAAAATGCCTGGCCTCTCCACTGCTTCCAGCAGTTATAGTGGCCAAGAGCCTGGGCTCTAGAGTCGGACTGCTCTAGGTTTAGGTTTAGGTTTAGGTTTTGGTTTTGCTTCTTTGTGCCTCAGTTTTGTCTGTAAAATGGGAGACAGTGACAATACTCATGTTATACGGTTGTCGTGAAGCATGCCTGGTGACTAGTGAGCACCCAGCAAATATTAGCTTGGGTTGGTATCGTCATTGATATCATTGGAGCACTGGCCTTGATTATAGTCCTCCACTTTCTGCTCCTAAGCACTGCACACACACAGCTGCTAGGGCTGGAAGAGGGCCTGGGACCCTACTGAGGTATATCAATACGTGTATCAATGCAGTCCACTGTTGCTGAGGAGCCTGATACTCTTTTTTTTTTCTTCTCAAGTTTTCCCACTTTTGGTGAGCCTGGCTGCTGACAGATTAATTTCAGGTTGTCTGCATGTACTTCCCCTGCTACTTGGACAGCGGCTTCCGTGGCCTGCCATATATTCTAAACCATTCATCCTGACACTCAAGATCTTCCCAAACTGATGCAAAAATTGTTACTTTAAAATTCTCATTTCTTACAAATCCACTGCTTATATCCTGTTCTGTAGCCAAAGTGGACCACTCACTGTGCCTCCATCCCCATCACAGTTCATCCTCTGCCCCTTTGCACATGACCCTTCCTTCCTTCTCCCTTCCCTTCCCTTCCCTTCCTTCTCCCTTCCTTCTCCCTTCCCTTCCCTTCCCTTCCTTTCCCTTCCCTTCCCTTCTCCCCCTCTCTCTCTCTTTCTCTTTCTTTCTTTCTCTTTATTTCATGGAGTTTCACGATTTTCACCCAGGCTGAAGTGCAGTGGTACAATCTTGGCTCACTGCAACCTCCACCTCCCGGGATCAAGTGATTCTCCTGCCTCAGTCTCCCGAGTAGCTGGGAATACAGGCAGGCACCATTATGCCCAGCTAATTTGTATTTTTAGTAGAGAAGGGGTTTTACCATGTTGGCCAGACTGGTCTTGACCTATAACCTCAGATGATCCACCCACCTCGGCCTCCCAAAGTGCTGGGATTACAGGCGTGAGCTGCTGTGCCCAGCCTGCTCATGACATTTCTTCTGCTTGAACTGATCTCTCCCCCAATTTTTCAGAATCCTATTCATCCCTCAAAGTCCAAGTCAGTGCCCCTTCTATCAGGAAGCCTTCCCTGATTGCCCCAGTCAGAAGTGTTTCCTGTGTGAAGACTTGGAGTCCCCTCCACTGTGATGGGCAGGATTCTAGGATGGCACCCAAGGTGTGCCCCCTGGTGTACATGCCTTGTATAACCTCCTTTACTTGAGTGCAGTGGAACCTGTACAACTCCCATGATGCGGTGACCAATCAGTTGACTTTGAGTTAACAAAAAGGGAGAATTATCCCAGGCAGGCCTAGGATAGAAGGTTGGTAAGCATTTATGGGACACTGATAAGGTTATGTAGATTTTCCCACCCTTTAATTTATGGCTGCACTTCCTTTTTATTACTTGAGAGTTTAAAGCGCACTGCTTCACATACTGTGGGGCTGTAATCAAAAGGCAGAATTATCAAGAACGATCCATGTTGCCAGGCTTTAATTCAAGGAACTTGTAAGAAGCATCGTGAGAGCTAAGAAGTCTAATGAGCAGGACGTATGGTGGGGAGTCAGTCACTGCTCAGCCCTTCCTGCTGCCCTGTGCTCTAGTTCCAGGCCTCTTAGGGATGGGGCAGAGGGTGGCAGTAGGATCAGCTAGGTGAGAGTTATGGGGAGGAAGAACCGTTCACCATTCTTGGTTCAGGGTCAAGTTCAACAGACGCTGGGGTGGAGGCGATGGGAGGAACAAAACTTGGCTCCCACTTTACCAAAGGCCTCATTTTAGGCCTGAGTAATTAAGACTGCATTCTGGTGGAGAGAAGAGAAGTTCACCTAACAATATTGTCTCAAAAAAGTCCACCTTAAAAAAAACAGGCACATTTAGATGGTGAAAGATAGTGGAGTGCGTGGTGATTATTCATTTACAAGAATGATGCTTTTTGTTTTTCAAGAATTCACTACTCTGGGAGTCCTTGACTGAGTGAGCAGACTTCCTAGTGCATGCTACAATGAGCTTCAGGAAACCCAGATTTGATTTATGCAGTTTTGGAAGAACAGCTCTTGAAATGAATGCAGTTTATCTCACACGGCCTCGCCCGCACATGAACATAGATGGACCCAATCGCATCCCTTTCCCAGATGCAGTTACCTTCGGTGCCGTCTGGCTCCGCCTGCTCCTCACGCTGCTTCTGCTTGAACTTCATGTTCCCATAATGCATCACGGCTCCCGTCAGTTTGTAGATCCCGACTTTCTCCTCTGAGCTGAAGCCCAGGATGTCAATGGCATTCTGGAAAGAAAAAAAGGACAACTGTCATAGCAGGAATCAGGGATCCATATGCAGCCTTTTCTTGGCAAAGACCTTACCTCTTTTTTGTATAGCATATGAGACAGCATTTGCCCAAATAAGTGGATGACAGGTGGGGATGTGGTAAATTAGAAACCATTTGTTTCACGTGTTTGTGTGGGTGGGTGAAGACTATGGGAAAAAGATGTGAATTGTCTGTTTCCTTCCATCAAATAAGAACTGATTACAGTCGGGCGCGGTGGCTCACGCCTGTAATCCCAGCACTTTGAGAGGCCAGGGCAGGCAGATTACGAGGTCAGGAGTTTGAGACCATCCTGGCCAACATGGCGACGCTCCATCTCTACTAAAAATACAAAAAATTAGCCAGGCATGGTGGCTGGCACCTGTAGTCCCAGCTACTCAGGATGCTGAGGCAGGAGAATCACTTGAACCTGGGAGGCGGAGGTTGGAGTGAGCCAAGATTGTACCATTGCACTCCAGCCTGGGAGACAGAGTGAGACTCCATCTCAAAAAAAAAAAAAAAGAGAACTGATTATGATCTTTTCTCACTGTACATAGATTTGGGGGAGCAGTTTTCTGGATGAGGCGATTGGGAACCATTGTATGATACTGAGAGCTGGGAATGTCATGGAGAATGACTGGGAAATAATGTTTAATGGCTTAAGAGTTTGGCATTGTAATCCAGGAGTTCCAGCATTGTTCAGACTCAAGACAATATGCATTATGGAATATTAGATCTGGAAGGGAAGATCATCAAAGATGGCATCATCATTTCCCAAATGAGAAAGGGGCAAGCTTTTGCAGAGCTCTTTCTATGTGCTAGACATTGGGTAGGCATCATCTGTATGTTATTAAATCCCCATGAAGCCCCTTTAGCTGTGCAGGTTTTTCCAGATTTCTGGATGAAGAATTGAGGGTCTAGTTGGTAAGTAGCCTGTCATACAGGGAGGGTGTGATAAGACTGGGACTGGAGTTAGGTCTTGGTCCCTTCAAAACCTAGGGTCATTGCTGGTTTGGTTTTATAATCATGTTGCCTGTCTTCCACCACAAAGGTTTCAACAAAAAGAAATCCTTCTCTGGGGTACACATATTGATTATGCAGTAGGGTTTGCAGCCTGAGCCTGTAGAGTGTCCATTGGTAGGATTGAAACATGTTTGGACGTGTTTGGTGAGCACGTAGGATAGACCCAATAGGCCAACACCAGCAGGATGATATTGGAGAGTCAAGCATTCTTGGAGTGGCACCCCCTTTAGTGGAGAATGAGCCTATGCCAGGAGCTGGGATATATGGGGAGGAGAGATTCCGAGGCCATGATGGCCATCCCTTGAATCCATATCCCATTTCAGGGTTGCATATCTCTGTCCTAGGGAAGGGTCGTTGTAGGTTAAAAGAGAAAGAACTCTTTCAAAAACACTAAAAGGAGCAGGTGAAAGCGTCACTGCCTGGGGACCCTTTTGGAGAATGTCATCTCCAAAGGGGTGCAGGTGGAACCTGGGTATATGATGGGATGTCACTCCCATTATGAAGTTACCAATCAGTTGACTTTGAGTTCATAAAAAGGGAGACTATACCAGGCAGGCTATAAAAGCTCCGTGAGGCCAGGCGCGGTAGCTCACATCTGTAATCCCAGCACTTTGGAAGGCCGAGGTGGGTGGATCACAAGGCTAGGAGTTCAAGACCAGCCTGGCCAACATGGGGAAACCCCTTCTCTACTAAAAATACAAAAATTAGCCGAGCGTGGTGACAGGTGCCTGTCATCCCAGCTACTTGGGAGGCTGAGGCAGAGAATTGCTTGAACCTGGGAGGCAGAAGTTGCAGTGAGCCGAGATCGCACCACTGCACTCCAGCCTGGGGACAGAGCGAGACTCCATCTCAAAAAAAACAAAAAACAAAAAACCAAAAAAAGGCTCCGTGAGAGGAAGGAGCAACAGCCGCATCTGGCAGAAGGCATCTTGGTGAGGACATGACTTAGGTAAGGTGACTTTTAGAATTCCTTAGGTGGGCCTTTCTCAGTGGATGGGGGCCTTGTAGCAGTCATTAGCCTGGCCCTTTCTGTGCTTACAAGTTAGTGAAGACTGGGGAAACCTCATTAAAAATATATAACAACTTAAATTAAATTTGGTCTAAAACTGCCTCCATACATAGCAAACTATAACCTAAATTAGTATGTAAACAAACTGCAACCTAAGAGTATATTCTTGTAACAAATAGCTGAGTCTCAGCCAGTCACAGCAGCTGAGCTTCAGCCAATCACAGCAGCTGAGCTTCAGCCAATCACAGCAGCTGAGTCTCAGCCAATCACAGCAGCTGAGCTTCAGCCAATCACAGGCTGCCAAACTGATGGGCCATTGTGCATATAACACAAATGCTTCATCACACCACCTGCAGATAAGGCAAAGGCAGACCTGTACCTAATCAAGCTGTTTCTGTATGTCACTTCCTTTTTCTGCCTATAAATACTGCCTGCCATGTTGCTGGGTGGAGCTCTCTGAGCCTCTCCAGGTGCTGAGTGTGGTCCAACTCATGAATCATTCTTTGCACAAATAAACTCTGCTAAATTTAATTTGTCTCAAATTTTTCTTTTAACACTATTAGACCTAAGATAACAAGTTTATTTGATCATGAAAATTTTTCTATTTGTGTTAAAACAATTATTATCAGCTGGAAATGTCACCAAATGAAGGCTAAGAAGCTGGTCATGGGGCAGTGTCTCTAGGATGATGGACAAGACCCCTTTTCGCAAGCTCTTGAAGCTTTTGTATGGGTGGAGCCAACAAGGGTGGAGATGAATTGCTCACAGACGGTATACTTTAATTAAAAATGTAAGCTCTGTAGTTAGGCAGACCTGTGTTTAAATACTCTGTCATTGGGCCTGGTGCAGTGGCTCATGCTTGTAATCCCAGCACTTTGGGAGGCTGAGCTGGGTGGATCACCAGAGATCAGGAGTTTGAGACCAGCCTGGCCAACATGGCGAAACCCCAATTCTACTAAAAATACACACACACAAAATTAGCCAGGCATGGTGGTGCATGCCTTGTAGTTCCAGCTACTTGGGAGGCTGAGGCAAGAGAATCTCTTGAACCCAGGAGGCGGAGGTTGCCGTGAGCTGAGATCATGCCATTGCACTCCAGCCTGGGCGACAGAGCGAGACTCTGTCTGAAAAAAGAAAGAAAAGAAAAGAAGAGAAGAAAGAAGGAGAGAGAGAGGAAGGAAGGAAAGAAGGAAGGAAGGAAGGAAGGAAGGAAGGAAGGAAGGGAAAGACTCTGTCATTGACGAATTGTGTCTTCCAGAAAATTATATATATTTTAAGAATCAGCTTCCACATTTGTAAAATGGAGACAATAATGACATAATTTTGAGACTATAATGAGACAATGCAGGTAAAGCCACTTATCTCAGTGCCTGGCACATGTAAGTGCTCAATATATTTGGTTATTATTGTTATTAAGATTATTAATCCTACAGGTACTTCCCCAAAATAAACACCACAGGCCTGACAGGTGTACTGAGGAGCTGAGTGTCTAAGGTGAGCCTAAAGTGAAAGGCAGAAAGAAAAATGGAGAGGCTATTACAGAGTGGGCTTGGTTTTCTGCTTTATACATTTTTATATTTTCTAAATTTTCTTGAAGAACCATGTAGATGGTTTTGCAACATGAAAACTTTCAACGAATGTTAGGTTAAAGATCTTATAAATGCAAAAATGCATTCCAGTTAAAATGTTAGAGAACAGAACTGAAGGCCTGCTTTGGTGAACCTTCTGGATTTCCATTTTGGAATGCTGTGAGGTGGAGCTGAGTAGGGAGGGGCCAATCTGTGCTAATTCTCTGAGCTCTTGATCTCTGAGATCTTGAGTCTAATCACTTAGTATCCCTGGATTTCAGCTTTCCCATTAGCTCACTAACGTGTCTCTCAGTTCATAAACTCAATAATTCTGTGCATAAACAGACAAATAAATGGCATGCTTACATCTGTCGCCAGCAGTTCTTCACTGTCATCGATACTGGCTACCGTGACCTCTCCTTGGCTCACGAAGGGGAAGTCGAAGGGGTTGGTGGAGATCAGAAGCAGGTCTGTGAAACACAGATATCCCTTTAATGGCTTATGCATAACTTACTCTGGGTTGTTTTTTTTTTCCCAACGTCACCGATTTGGAACATAAGAAAGGTATTCCAAGAGCTTACCAATTAGTTCTGGCTTCTTGTTTGACATAATTTGGTAGAAAATATGATAGCTTCTCTCACTGGATAATTGAAACGTCACTCTGGATTTTTCTAACAGATCTAAGGTAACAAAAATAACGTGATTTCAGGCTCCCAAGAGATGCTTTTGTGGCCAAAACACCAACGGATTTATAGAGTGTTTGGACTCACAAGTTTCGATGTCTGCCGATGCCAGCTTTCCTGTGGCTCCAAAATGAATCCGAATGAACTTCCCCTGTCCAATAACAGGTGGACAAATGTTACGGTTATTTGATTTATATGGTTTTGTGGCTGGCCTTAGATAGGTGCTGCCACAGATAAATTATAAATGCAAAAATGCTAGAGAACAGAACTGAAGGCCTGCTTTGGTGAACCTTCTGGATTTGCATTTTGGAATGCTGTGAGGAGGAGCTGAGTAGGGAGGGGCCAATCTGTGCTGATTCTCTGAGCCCTTGATGTCTGAGATCTTGAGTCTAATCACTTAGTATCCCTGGATTTCAGTTTTCCCATTAGCTCACTAACATGTCTCTCAGTTCATAAACTCAATAATTCTGTCCGTAAACAAACAAATAAATGGCATGCTTACATCTGTCGCCAACAATTCTTCACTGTCATTGATATTGGCCACCATGACCTCTCCTTGGCTCAGAAGGAAGGGATGCCAGAACATGGGCACCTCTCCACCGGGTGCCCAGTGCTCCCAAGCTGGGTCAGCAAGGACTCAGGTAGCTCTACCCAAGCACCTGTCCCTGTTCCCACAACTCAGGGGATGCCCACAGGCTCCTTCTCCAGCTCTCTTCTTGGGACTACTCCATTCTTGACTGCCTGCCTGGTTTTCATCCTGTTCTCTTATACCTGGATTCTTAAATCTTCATAACACCTTTTAATTGTAACTGGTTGGATTGTTCTGTCTGACTTTTTTTTTTTTTTTTTTTTTTTTTTTTTTTTTTTTTTTGCTTGTATCTTAATAGATGCTACTTCTGAGATTTCTTGCCTGAGTTTCACATATGGCTGACTACAGACAAATCTGGCTCAGAGGCCCGGGCTCAGGCTCAGGCCTGGCTCCCTGGCTGCCAAAAGAACAACTCAGGGTCTAGGTGGCCCACTTTCTGGGGAGTGGGAGGTAAAATTTCATATGCGTGTTTGTGTGTATGCACCTGCTTCATACATTATCTGCTTAATTGGTCCTCAACGACACTGTGCGCAAATTTGAGGACAAAAAATGTTTTCTTGCTTTTTCACCCACAGTGTCTGAAATGTGGATGGTACTTAGTACTAGCCTCAATATTTTCTGAATGAACCCCAGGAAAAGTTAGTGAAGGATCAGTAAAGGCACATGTGCACTGTAAGTGCTGTGTCTTCAGTATATTTAGCGGCTTAACAGAAGACAATGGAAGTCATCCCTAGCCTGCAAATATTTGGAGGGTGGAAAGAGGACAAAATAATTAGAATGATTGTGACTTCTGGGTCAGGGCTAAGAGTAGAGGCCCATGAACTAAGTAAATGGGAATGAGAAGAGGGAGTGCCTGAAGGTATTGTCTTTCACTTTAAGCTGGTGTCAGGCCAGTGCAATAACTAACTTGGTCCAGGCATGGGTAACATACCTCTGCCATGTAACATGTGCCCAGATCTTCCACAAGGAAGAGGAGTTTATTTGGGCACTGGGGAGGATACAGGTGCAAACTGGCAGTGCACAGGGTACAAAGAACATATCCAAGGAAACAAAAGTCAAGGCTCAGAGCCATGGTCCTTGATGGATTACCTACTTCCTCATTGATAACCATTTTATCTTTCAGGCGACGAAATACAAGTTTGAGACTATCCAACTATTAAGATGTGTGAAGTTTTAATGTACTTTTGCAACCATAGGCACAAATGATGGCTTTGCCTCTGAGTACTTGCTCCACTGGCCAGTGAAATGAAATAGAGGGCTGGATGTGTGTTTATTTCCGATGGGAAGTAAATGTCTTTTTGATTAAGCCAAACCTAAGTAAAAAGTTGAAGGATGGCATATATCCTTCAATATCTTCAGTATGAATCTATTCCAATATTTTTTTCTTTTTTTTGAGACAGAGTTGCCCTCTGTTGCCCAGGCTGGAGTGCAGTGTTGCAACTTCGGCTCCCTGCAACCTCCACCTCCCGGGTTCAAGCGATTCTCCTGCCTCAGCCTCCCAAGTAGCTGGGATTACAGGCATGTGCCACCATGCCCAGCTAATTTTTTGTATTTTTAGTAGAGATGGGGTTTCGTCATGCTGGTCAGGCTCGTCTCAAACTCCTGGTCTCAAGTGATCCGCCCCCCTCAGCCTCCCAAAGTGCTGGGATTACAGGCGTGAGCCACCGCGCCCAGACTATTTCAAATTTTTGAGCTCTTCTGCCTTCACTAGGTTTTCCCTGCTCCCAGTCCCTACTGAGTTGGAAGAGGTCAAATCTGCTAACTTAATTCACACTAAGGTTTCCGTGGCTAGACCAATAGATATGGCTTAATGGACGTTAACATTTTAAAATGTTTCCACACAGAGAGACCCATTTTAGCATAAAGTTGATCTCTAATTGTGGGATTTGAATCATGTGAGTGACTTCAGGATGCTGTGAGGTGACATTGCCTAGTTAGGGTAGGACGGCAAATCCTCCCTCTGCCAGGACCAAGCCAACACCTTCCTCAAAGTGTATCACAATATTCCAGGTGGGTAGATTGATCTCAATCACTTGGGGGTAGAAAAAGGCCCCCATATATTCCAGTTTATGGGGCAGTTTTTCATATCCAGCATTTCAGGAGAGGGTATGCTTTTGGGAGGATACTTGAAAATTGGGCCGGATCTTACAAATCTTGAGGAGTTGTCATTCCTCACAGTCTTGGCATTTCCAAAGGCCTCCAGCAGTGGGTTGGCCTGGATGATCTGATCCTCTAGGGTTCCCTAATAATAAACAAGAAGAGGAAAAAGAGGACTTTGGATGGTTTTCTAAAGTAGCCCCTTGATGACTAAAACGGTGGGTACTCTGGGCAGGTTCAGGTAGAGATGTCGACCAGCTCCACCTGGTGGTCAGTGCAGCACCCACGCCCCCACCCCCACCAGACCTGAGGCGTCTTCAAGGTACCATCTTAGACAGGTTCTTATTAGCATAGCATTGAAGTGACTTCTGGTCATGCCAGGTTCTAGGCAGGAATATTACTCCCTCCATCAGAACATCCAGACTGCCTTTCTGATAACATTTCATTATAAATCATGGATTTTTATAACATGCACCTCTGTTATTGCATGTAATATGACCCACCTAATATAGATATTTGTCTTCAGAAGGAGAAATAGAATGTGAGCAAAGCAAGCGACCCAGGGGATGATACAATAACAACAGTGGTTCTCAAAAAGGTTTTTTATGTAGCAAAAACTTATGAGAATGATTATTCAGAAATCCACTACAGAAAGCAGAGTTTTCACCTTCACCTCCATGACTGCTTTATCCTTCTGGGTCCAGAGCAATTTAGAAACTACTGTCAAACCTAGTGGTTCTCAAAGTGTGGTCCCTGGACCAGCAGCATGAACACTACCTGGGAATATATGAGAAATGCCAGGTATGGTAGTTCACACTCGTAATTAGCACTTTGGAAGGCTGAGGCAGGAGGATTACTTGAGGCCAACGGTCTGATACCAGCCTAGGAAAGATAGTGAGACTCCATCTCTACAAAAAATTAAAAAAAAACTAGCCAGGCATGGTGGTTCCTGTAGTCTTAGCTACTTGGAAGGCTGAAGGATGATCGCTTGAGCCCAGGAGTTTGAAGTCACAGTGAGCTATGATGGTGTGCCACTGTACTCCAGCCTGGGTGACAGAGTGAGACCCTGTCTCTCCAAAATAAAAAGGAAAAAAAGATGCAAACTATGAGGTCCCACCCTAGATCTACACAATCAGGAATTCTGGGCCTGGGTTCTGCCGCCCTTTGTTAAGAATCTCTCCTGTTGATTCTGATGTGTACTCCAGTTTGAAAACCACTGGTGTAAACATTCCTTCTCCAGAGGAGGATGTGGAGTTGGTCAAGGTCCCTCAACTGTAGGTGATGGAGCTGGTGCTAGAACTCAAGTCCATTCTGGTGGAACCACTTCCTGCTTTGCTCCATGTGATACTGTGATGTAATAGGAATGGTATATTTTGGTCTTTTTCCAGTTTCCTGGTACGCAGCTCCTAAAACCCTTGGAATATCTGAAGTGATAAATGTCTTTTTGTGTGCTAATGAGATGATTGGTGGCTTCGGGGTCCTGGACAGCTCAGGATGGGGGCTGGCTGCCAGGGAACCAACCGCGTGATTAGAGAGTTGGAACTTTCAGCCCTATTCCTGACCCCTGGGAAGGAAAGAAGGGCTGGAGGTTGAGTCAATCATCAATGGCCAGTGATTTAATTAATCATGCTCATGTAATGCAACCTCTATAAAAACCCTACACAGAAGGCTTCAGAGAGGTTCCAGGTTGATGAACACCTAGAGGTACTGGGAGGATGTCACCTGCAGAGACCCTGCCCCTCCCCCATACCTTGCCCTAGACATCTTTTCCACTTGGCTTTTCCTCTGCATCCTTTGTAACAGCCTTTATAACAAACTGGCAAATGTAAGCAAAGTGTTTCTCTGAGTTCTGTGAAGCACTCTAGGTAATTACCAAACCTGAGACGGGGGTCGTGAGCTCCTCCCAATTAATAGCTGCTTGCTTAGAAGTTCAGGAGGCCCGGACTGGTCCCTGGTATCCAAAGTGGGGTCAGTTTTGCAGGACTGAGCCCTTAACTTGTGTGATTTGATGCTTTCTCTAGGTAGTTAGTATCAGAATTGAATTGAATTGTAGGACACCCAGTTGGTGTCTGCAGAGAATTAGAGAATTGTTTGGCATGGAAAAACCCCATACATTTGATGGCAGACACGTTCTGTGTGAGGATACAGAGAGGAAAGAAAGAATTTTTCCTATTTGCCGTTTCTACTGAGCGCATACCCTGCATACACTTGGTGCTCATCCACGCTTTAAAGTATACTTATTCCAGTAAGCCTCCGGATGCAGGTGGGGCTGCTCACCTGCATTTTGCCTGGCTGTGTCTCCTTCTTCTTGTCCCCGGTAACTGCAATTGTTGCAAAATACTGGATGACACGCTTGGTGTTCACAGTCTTCCCAGCCCCGGATTCTCCGCTGCCAATTTAAAAGTAAACGGGATAAAGGAGAGTGGAAGGGAGGGCACTGGTTTCCAAGTCATGATGGTACAAAGAGGTGTTACTCACGTGATGAGGATAGACTGGTTGTCTCGATCTAGAAATGCAGAGGGAAGCAAAACAAAACAAATAAACAACAAACAGAATGTTAAAATAAAGTAACATTGGGGGTGGTTGGAGAACATAGGCTCTAGTTAATGTCTTTGCCATTAACCACTGGTATGATTTGGGCATGTCTAATCTTCTTTGGGACAATTTAGGCAGATTTCTCAAATGTGGGATGTGCAACATGACCAGCCTGGGAGGTGAATGATTCTCTACTCACTGTAGTGAATCCCACAGTGTAGAAGTTACTCATGTTTATAGATCTTTAACTCCCTGCTAGTCCTTTCCCATCGCCCTTTTCCATAAAGAAAGCAAGTGTCAGGTTCAGAGCTTGTGGGGCCACAGCTTTTCATCAGCATTTATAGATGCTGGTTGGTTTCATTGCATTTTTCTTTTACCTTTACCTTCTACTTGTGAAAAGTGATACTGGTTTTTCATTTACAATAGAGCATGGATTGAACTGTGTCCTCCTAAAATTCACATATTGAATTTCTAACCCCTAGTACCTCAGAATATGACCTTATTTGGAAATAAGATGTAAACAAGATGCAGGGGTAATTACTCAAGATGAGGTCATGCTGGAGTAGGGCAAGCCCCTGATCTAATATGACTGGTATCCTTATAAACAGAAGAAATTTGGAGACACACAAGCACATGGGGAGAATGCCATATGAAGATTAAGGCAGGGATCAGGGTGATGCTTCTACAAATAAAAAACAACAAAGATTTCTGCTAGCAAACCATAGAAGCTAGGAGAGAGAGACATGGGCCAGATTCTCTCTCAGCGTCCTCAGACTAACCAATCCTGATGACACCTTGACTTCGGACTTCAATCCTCTAGAACTGTGGGAAAGTACATTTCTATTGTGTAAGCCCCCCAGTCTGTGATACTGGAGCAGCCATAGCAAACTAATAGAAATTGTGGTATTAGTCTTCCCTTTAAAATTAATGTAACATGAACTAATTTCAAGAAAAATATTAAGTTTGCAGACATGGCAAGGATTGTGATTGTGAGACAGAAATGACAGAAGTTTGGACACCATTGCATTAGATGATTTTTAAGCATCTACAGGTCTCAGATTCAGATGCTAGACTCTTTTTTTTTTTTTTTTGAGACGGAGTTTTGCTCTTTTTGCCCAGGCTGAAGTGCAGTGGCGAGATCTCAGCTCACCGCAACCTCCTCCTCCCAGGTGCAAGCAATTGTCCTGCCTCAGCCTCCTGAGTAGCTGGGATTACAGGCACCCACTACCATGACTGGCTAATTTTTTTGTATTTTTACTAGAGAGAGGGTTTCATCATGTTGGCCAGGCTGGCCCCGAACTCCTGACCTCAGGTGATCCACCTGCCTCGGCCTCCCAAAGTGCTGGGATTACAGGTGTGAGCCACCGCACCCAGCCTTGCTTCTACTTCTAGCATCTGTTCCAAGTCAAGTCAGGTGAAGGTTGAACAGACAGACTTGATATTAGGCATCATGGCATGACAGTGTTACCATGTCCTTACTCCCCAGGTCATTCTGGAAATTAAAGGAGGTGAAGGGGAGCCTGAGTTTGGGGAAGAACGCAGGAACACTGCTTTACCCATTTCTCCAACGTAGCATTCCCTGAGTGGCTACTGATATGGTTTCTCTTCAAAGTACACCTGGATTGGGGGTTCCCTGGGGACAAAGGTAGGGCATCTCCTTGTGTTCCACATTCTCCCAAATAAGCAAGAGCTCAGTGTAGCTTCAGCCATAATCACAGGCCTTGTCATGCACTGTGACTGGCAATGGAAGATGTTGTACCCTTTGCTTTTCATCCCCAAATCATCTGACTCTCCGAAGATCCTTTGATTATTGCACCATTCAGATGGCCAACGCCCATCAAAAGCTTGAAAAATTAACTAAGGATGGCTTCAAAAAATATGAATCAAAGAAATTACTCACCAGTCAGCATGAACTGATAGGCATTGTCAGAGATGGAGAAGATGTGGGGCGGGGCCTCCTGGCGCTTTTTGCCTCTGTAGGCAGCCACCACCTCGGGCTTGTACACCGGCAGCCACTTGTAGGGGTTGACGGTGACACAGAAGAGGCCTGAGTAGGTCTGGGAAGATCAGAACATTTATCATTTGGATCTCGTTTTTACTCAGAGAGAGACATGAAATAAAAAGGTGTTTACAGACACTCACGTAGATCATCCAGGCTGCATAGCGCTCTTTGAGGTTGTACAGAACAGCAGGTTCATGCAGGTGAGTCATCATGGCCATGTCCTCGATCTTGTCAAATTTGGGAGGGTTCATGGGGAAGACCTGGTCATTGTTCAGAGTGAGCATCTGGGTATTGAGAGGAAAAGCAGGTAATAAATTGGTGAGCCAAGTGCCCACATTGCACTTTACTGGTGTGGTGGAAGTAGTGAGATATTGTGGAGGAATTACCGCATTGTGATGGATAATTTCATGGATCATTTCCATGCCCCAACATGATCCATAAATAACAGTTCTTGAAGAATCTGATTCTGGTCAAACTATGTAACCAATTCTGGTCTGATGCCCCTCAGTCATCCTGCTGTCGTGTGTACCAGGAGTGGGTTACAGGTGTGCAGAGCTTTGGAGCCCTTTGCCTCTGTTTACCCTATTTGTTGTGAGTGCTGTGATGAGACAAAGGTTGGAAGGTTACAAAGAACTGCTCCAAAGTGTTCTGTGTTTTTCCACCTCAAAATCTCTGCTCATGAGGTTTCCTTCAGCTGGAATGTCTTCATGAAAATTTTGTTTAGAAACCTTCAAAGCTCAGCTCTAGCACCAACTCTTCCACGACCCATCTCCTCTCTCCCCTATTGCTTCAAGGCTCCCATAATTATTTGTACCTCTGCTCTAATAGTTCAGACATTTGGGGGTGCATCATGGTTCTTTGCTGAATATTTTCAGAATATTATTTAATTTTTTTTCCCTCTGTTTTTTTCCCACCTCTCTCCCCCATTCAAGCTGGCTCTGCACTCCATGGCTCAGGAGAGACAGAAAATAGGGCAAGAACAGCTACTAGGGAGGCTGAGGCAGGAGAATGGCGTGAATCCGGGAGGCGGAGCTTGCAGTGAGCCGAGATCACGCCACTGCACTCCAGCCTGGGCGACACAGTGAGACTCCGTCTCAAAAAAAAAAAAAAAAAAAAATAGGGCAAGAAAAGAAAAAGAGCTTGTAATACTTCCTGGATTTTGTTTTCCAAAAACCTAAGTCCTTAGGAAAACTTTGAGGGTTTCACAGAAAAGATAAAAGGAAGGAGTTTTGCTGGTATAGACCAAATTTTTTGAGGAAGGAAAGGCCTTCCACTCCACCACCCAAGACTAGAAAAAGAGAAACAGACACCCAAGGTAGCCAAAGGGGAGGTAGAAAAGTCTATGTATCCTGAATCTTTAAGGACTGGGACTTGTTTCTGAATAAATCCTCCAGGGAGGCTGTGAGTCCCCCGTGTAGTGCTGTGTAAGGTTCTGAAAATGTGACATATTCCTGAGGCGGTGGTGAGGGCACCCCAAGAGTGACTGAACACATTTTTCCCCAGCCCACTGAAAAAGGACTGGAATTAGAGGTTAAGTTTAATAACAAAAAATAAAAGCAAGGTCTCTCTCATATGCCTGAGTTTGTGAAATGAGATTCATACCTGCCATATACATCTTTGGGAAACTTTGGGAAAGCAGGTGCAGAGGTATGCTTATATTTGCAAAGCGATCAATGCTATGACCTAGACCTGGTAGATGTCCGGTAAGTACTGAATGGTACATGATAATTCTCCACATTAAGTGAGTCAATGGCTCCTGAGCTTCCTCTGTAGCAGCCACTCTGCAGCCCAGAGAGGTATAATTGGTCGGCCCATCCAGTATCAGCCTCTTCCTTAAATAGACCAACCTTTTCTGCCCTCACCTGCTGCTTTCCTCTAAAGCAAACACCACAAAACCCCTCAAAGCCCAAGTCCTTGGAGAAGGAAAGAGGCAAGAGTGAAGGTGCATGTAATAGCAGCTTTCATCTGCTACTTCACCGCAGAACAGATAAACTAAGTTTTGTTCTGTCTTCAGATTCCGAAGGACCAGCATGCAATTTCTAATATTCTACTCCAAAGAAAAATGAGCATGCCCATATTATCAAAGACATCTGTAATCAACACTCACCCGGTCATCGAGGGTCTTGACTATGACTTTGTCATTTTCCCTAGTCTGGATCATGCCTTTCACATACATTTCCTTATTATCCGCTACAAAGCAGGCTTTCTTGGAATCGAATGGACGATTTTGAGCCTCGATTCTCTCCTTCTCTGGTTTCCGGAGGTAGGGAGCTGCTTCTCCAAAAATGGCCATTTCTGCGTCAGAGCTCATGACTGCAGAGGGCTGGGAAGACCAGAGGGACTGCTGAGTCTTGTGCTTGGGTGACTGCTGAAGCTGCAGGGCCCCTACCCTTATTCTATTAAAACGGGGCCAGATTCAAAGGCTCCTAGATTGAACATAGGTCCTGAGGGATCTATGGCCAGGTCTAGGAGCTTAAAGTGTGCAAGTGGGAATAAGCTAAAGGGGATATTTTATTCTAACAAAAAAGTATGAAGGTTTTTTTTTTTATCCTCTGAGTGTCGATTTTGGGAATATTTTAGTTCAGTCCCATGTGTGCATGTCTGAATCAATTAGAGCCATGGTGAACTCAATAAAAGAGGCTTCAGGAAGCACTTTCTTTCTTTCTTTCTTTTGAGACAGAGTTTTGCTCCTGTCACCCAGGCTGGAGTGCAATGGCTCGATCTCGGCTCTGCAACCTCCGCCTCCCAGGTTCAAGCGATTCTCCTCCCTCCCCTCCTGAGTAGCTGGGATCACAGGTGCCCACCACCACACCCAGCTATTTTTTTTATATTTTTAGTAGAGAGAGGGTTTAACCATGTTGGCCAGGCTGGTCTTGAACTCCTGACCTCAGGTAATCTGCCCGCCTTGACCTCCCAAAGTGCTGGGATTACAGGCGTGAGCCACCGCCTCCATCCTAGGAAGCACTTTCTAAATCGCTCATCGTGTTTGAGCCTGTGATCTCAGTGTCAGTTTAAAATCTTAAGAATATTTGAAAATCGTCACTGGAATGCTGATAATTCTTAATAGACATTTTGGTTAGCCCCGTGAAAAGTGAATGACTTGAACATGAAGATTTGTCACATTTGTTTAAATAACAAGATGATGGGAGGCAAAATGGCCCAGGGCAATGGTCCCAAACTTTAACATGCCAGAATCCCCTTGAGGGGTTGTTAAAGCACAGATTACGGGCCCTATCCCCATGGTTTCTGATTCAGTAGGCCTGAAGTGGGGCCCAAAAATGGGCATTTCTAGCAAGTTCCCAGGTGATGCAGATGCTGCTGATCCAGGGACCACACTGAGGATGGCTGGCATAGTGCCTTCCTGTTCCCAGGGTGGTCCTTGAAATGCAGCAGCTTCATGCAGGACTTCATTAAGAAATGCAGAATCTCAGACCCACCCAAGATAATGGGATCAGCACCTGCTTTTTAACAAGATCCCCAGGTAATTTCTATGCATAGGAGATGGGGAAGTACTGGGCCTCTAAACTCTAAACGCGGTCTCTAAACTTTGTGCGTGGCGGTGTCAGGGTGTGACAAATATTGTTTAGTTAGATTAATACCCACCTTAGAACTTGCTGCATGGTGTGTGTGTGTGTGTGTGTGTGTGTGTGTGTGTGTGTGTGTGTGTATGGGGCTGTGTGTGTGTAGGGGGTATTGGTCTCTCTCATCCCTTGTATCACTTTCTCCTAAACTATCTCCCTTTGCTGCCTTTCTTGCTCTTCTCTTTATGTATTTTTTCCTTCTTTTATGTAATGTATTGTCCCTGCTTAGAATGCAGAAAATTCATCTTAAAGTCCTAGCACTGATCAAACCACTTAAGCTCTCTGGTCCACAGCCTCTTCCCACTTATAAGGGAGAAGCCAGCCTCACTCCTGTCTAAGGTTCCCGTAAGTCCTGTGTGGACTGTTCCTCTTCTCAGAATTTGCTTCTCTCATTCCCCCTCGGCACCTCTTCCCTCTACTCCACTACCTATTTTCCTCAAGTCTCTTTCCTCTTTCCTTCCCTTCTCTCCTCTTTTCCTTCCCACTTAATTCTATAACTGACATAAAATGGAGTCAAGTCATACACACACACACGCACACCCACACATATCTCTCCATATCTCTCTTAAGAAATAAATCTGTTTTTTTTTTTTTTTTTGAGATGGAGTCTTGCTCTGTCTCCCAGGCTGGAGTGTAATGGCACAATCTCGGTTCACTGCAACCTCCACCTCCCGGGTTCGAGCAATTCTCCTGCCTCAGTCTCTTGAGTAGTTGGGATTACAGGCGCCCACCACCACACCCGGCTAATTTTTGTATTCTTAGTAGAGATGGGGTTTTGCCATGTTAGTCAGGCTGGTCTTGAACTCCTGACCTCAGGTGATCCGCCCACCTTGGCCTCCCAAAGTGCTGGGATTACAGGTGTAAGCCTCCATGCCCCGCCTGAAATACGTCATATTTTTTGAATAAGGTCTTTTATGTCCTCTTTTTATAGTGGGAAAGTTGAACATGTTATAGTTCTCTCCCCCATCTTAGCCTTTATGAAATTGCTCTCTTTATTGGTAACTGGCCATTGTTGAAATATCCTTTCCTGTGATTCTGTGGGGTTCTGTCTTACAGAAAGAAAAGCATCCACTTCCCATGGGGCCTTATTCAGATAAGTTGCATTTTAGTTATACTTTGTTCAGTGGCTCTGCTGAACCATCTGTGGGTTCATGGTTAGGTTTTCATAGTAAGGGACTGGAATTCAAATGCAGCACCCACAAATAAGACTCTTGGCCTGCAGCCATCATGCTGGTTTAGAGTCTCTCAGTTACCACCTGGAGGATGAGAAAGAATTCATCCACATGGCTTTCTTCTCTCATTTCTTTGAAGATAGTCCCTAATGTAATGGCTTAGGTGGATTTCGCTACAGCAGCGGTTCTCAAACTTTGTGGTTTCAGGACGCCTTCGCACTCTTAAAACTAAATGACTGAAAGCCCCATAAGATTTGGTTTATGTAAGTCATATCTATTGATATTTACCATATTGAAAATTAAAATTGAGAAATTAAAAAATATTTATTCATTAACTAAAAATTACTGTCAAATTCATTACATTAACATAAACATTTTATTTTATTATTTTATTGAGATGGAGTCTCAATGTGTCATCCAGGCTAGAGTATAGTGGCGCAATCTCAGCTCACTGCAACCTCCACCTCCCGGGTTCAAGTGATTCTCCTGCCTCAGCCTCCTGAGTAGCTGGGATTATAGGTGCCCACCACCATGCCCAGCTAATTTTTGTATTTTTAGTACAGACGGGTTTTCACCATGTTGGCCAGGCTGGTCTTGAACTCCTGACCTCAAGTGATCCTCCCGCCTCAGCTTCCCAAAGTGCTGGGATTAAAGGCATGAGCCACCGTGCCTGGCCAACATAAATATTTTAATAAAAATTACCATATTTTCCAAAACAAAAAGACTAGTGAGAAGGGTAGTGTTTTCATTTTTTGCAAATCTCTTTAATGTCTCCTTAATGGAAGACTGTTGGATTCTCATATCTGCTTCTGTATTCATGCCATTGCTGTATGTTTGGTGAAAGTAAATATAAAATATTTAGCTATGTAATTCAGAAAAGGAAAGAGTATTTTAGTCACCTTTTCAAATAATTGTGAATTTTCTTCTCAGATACTCTACCAAAACTTGACAAGTGGTAGTTTCTTAAAGGCTAGTTGCAATGCGGAATCTGAAGCCATATCAATAAACATTTTGTACTCTGTTACATTATAATCCACTAGTCTGTCTTGCATTTTGAGTGGATCTTCTTTTCCCATATGTGAATTTCATACAGTGGTTGTTTGGAAAATACTGGTTCACTGAATTATATAGTACTTCCAAATGTGGACACATTTTCTTACACAATATTAAAAAAATTACAATCATCAATATCACCAGTGTGATATCATTTGAAAATTCTTTCAGTACTAGGAAGTTGTCAAGCTAATGGTGGCAAATACATGTTTTCCTGTATGCATTCTCATTTATACTTGAAGGCTCAAAGTTGTGATTTATAACAAATGCTGTCAGTTTTTTCCTCGAGACGACAACCACATTGTTCCTTTTGGAGAACATGTTTGCCAAATATCCAAGTCTGAATAACCATAGCTTGTCTGCTAGTTGGTCTTTTAAATAAAAATGGTGCTTTATGAATAAAATGGCCAGTTCAGCTTGCAACTCACACAAATGCACATGTGCTTTTCCAGGAGACAACCATCAAACTTTGGTGGACTTCCCATTTCATCACATAAAATTGTTAATGAAACTTTTTAGTGCAAGTGTATGGTAGTGAAGAATACAGTAATTACTAATACAGTTTGGTGCGGTGCCTTGATTTGTAATAAGGTACCAGCCATTTATTCATCCTTGCTTTTGCATCACTCATGCAGTGAAAATGGCAAATAACAGCTGGGTATTATTGTGAAAGAGTTTTAGCCTCAAGTGCCTCCTAAAAAGTTCTTGGGACTCTACAAGAACCCACAGACCACACTTTGAGAATGGCTGCCCTATTGCATAAGGGAATCCTGACTGGTTACAGGTTTACGACCTTATAATATGTAGCTTGACTTAGCGTTAAGCATGATACCCAAAAGTGTTGGAAGATGATTTACTTCAAAACCCTCTGCAACATAATCTCTATGGCTGGGACCAGGGAATCTGATTTTTTGATAAGGTCCTCAGAGAGATGTTTGGGAACTACTGATTTAAAGCATTACTTTGCTTGTATGAAACTACTCTGTTTTTCTAAAGCCAAAACCATGGCACAGTCTCATTGCTTGTACACAAAATAATTTTAGGCAAATATTTCTTAATTTAATATTTGTATGCTTATTTTAAAGCCTATTACCTTATTTTATCAAAATTTGCCATCAATTATAACTTCCACAAATAAAAAAATGCAGCTAATTTAAACTGCAATGCTTCTTTCATAGATTGTAATATGCATCCTCATTTCAGGGATAAATTTGTAAAAAATATAAAAAAATCAGAATTGATGGAAATAGGGTAATATTTGTTTAACACTTAGGAAGCGTGCTACATCCATGTATTCTATGATATAAATCAGTGTTTGTCAAACTTAAATGGGCATATGAATCCTACTGTGAATATTCACTAGGTCTGGAGTTGGGTTTGAGCTTTTAAATATCTTACAAATTTCTCAGCTAATGCTGATACAGCAAGAATATAAGGTAACTTTAAAAACAAATAAGAAAAGAAAATGAATCAATGTAAATACAAATATTAAGTAAATTGACAGTATTGGTGTTAACATGGCTATTGCAAAACTTGTGATGGCAATAGGAGAATAAAGTCTGAAGTCAGGGAAAGGCTGCCATAGCTGATAGTTGAGCCATATTTTTAGTCCTCCTGGAAAAACAAGGCTTTTCCCTGTGGGCCTCACTGACAGTTTTCAAGTAGAGATTTTTTCTCCCTTCATTTACTCTAACCGTGACTCAGAACCCAGTATCTCCTAGTAGTATTACCTAGATGATGTTTGAGTTATCCCTCCATATTCCTGCAATGGTGCATCTAACCTAGTTGGATACTTTTAGGCACAACTCTTTTCCCTTTGATAGGCCAAAGATTCTTCTTGCTTTAAATTAAAATCTGGCTCTCCATTTGTTCTCCATTTGAACAGCAGAAAGAGTTCAAACCTTCCTACGTGACAACTCTTCACCCTTTTGATGGCTGTTCTGTGTTCTGCTTAGCTTTATCTTCTCCATGCTAAATAGCCTCAACTTCCACTGGTTCTTCTATGATGTGCTTTTGAATCCCTTACCATCTCAGTCACTCTTCCCTGAACCCACTCCTGTTAATCTTTTAAAGTGTGATATCCAAACCACATGTCACCCTCCACTGGAGTGTGCCCTCACCTCTCTTGACCTAGGTGTCATGCTTGAGGTGGTGATTGCCTGTTGGCAGCCACGTCTCACACTGCTGACGCACCACTCCGTGTCGAGCAAAGCCCCTCAATCCTCTCCGTGCATGCAGTTGCTAAGTCAGATCTTCTCCCTATATTTGTGCAACTGTGAGTTGGGACCCAGGGGAAGACCATTCATTTTTGACTGATAAACTTCACCTTGTTAGATCTGACCCAAGTCTCTAGGCATGACTCATGCTGCCCACTGAGCACCACCCTCTAGAGTTTCCTTAATTAGCCTCTTCTCTGTTCCAAGAGCAGGACCTGCTTCCAACGTTGCATAGCTGTGCCCCTTCAACCACTCTGTTCCTGTCTTTAAGGGCCTTCTAATTGAGATGACTACCCCCGCCTGCCTAATCTCCATCACCCACTTGTGAGGGCTCCTCTCTCTCTGTTTACCCTCTGTGTACCATGACACTACTCTCAACTTTCATCCCTCTCCTGGGAATTTCACCGCTACTGTGTCTTGTCAGCAATGATGTGCTCATGATTCAATGACAGCTTGGCTTTTTTGGTCCCAATTCATCTAGAACTACCTCTAATAAACACACGTTTTAAGGGGATAGGGTTTTTATTACCGCACCGGGCATAGGATTGAACGGATCCCTCCCCATTCCTTCAGTATTACACGTGAGGGAAGGTGCAGCTGTGTGGATTCATGGGTGCAGACTCTGCTCAAGGAGCAGCAAAGTTAGCCTTTGTGTGAAGACTGCATTTGGACCCTATGAACATCATGTTCTGTGCCAACTAAGTACTGTGTATTGACTTGGAGCTTGTATGTCAAAATTCTGCATTATATTTCGTACATTTCAGTGTAATGAGCAAATAGGAGAAGCCATTCTTCCTTTGGTAAAACCTGTATATATTTTAAAATCTACCTTTAAGAATAGTTAAGTTATTGGTTTCAAACTCATCAATTTCGTCTTCTTATGAGTGTGGCAAGAATGAGAACGTGTAAAATGATGTTTGCTAATTTCAATGATTGCATTCATGATCAAGCTGAAAATAACCCTTACCTTCTTGGTTCCCAAGTGACAGTCAGTGTCCTTCAGGAATAAAGCGTCTTCCTGGGGATAATTTGAGAAAAAAAAACAAACCAAAAAAACCCAAATGAGCTACAAAGAGTTTAAATAAATATAGAAACCATGTTTGTTCCAGTTTATCTACCTTAAATAGATACACAGTAGATGGTGTGGAATGAAATAAATTTGCTGTTTTGAATTTTTACTTTTGATTAAAATCATTATTCTTTAAATAGTTGGTTAATTACAACATTTAATTAATACTCTCTTGAGAAACTTCTGTGTGTACAATGTACTGTGTCAGCTCCTTAAGGGGGTATGAAGAGGAAAGTACAGTATCTGCCCTATAGGAATGCAAAAGTTAGTAAGGGATAAGAGAATGCTCAAGTAAGTCTTTGAACAGGATTAAGACAAATTTTTAAGGAGTCTAAACAAAGTACTATGGGAACTTAGAGAAACCGCTTCTGACTGGGGGGCTGTGAGGGGTCAGGGAAGAAAGAAAGTAGGGAGGGGAATGCTCCAGATTGCAGCTTGGATGCTTAGGGGCAGTCACCTTTTTTTGGCAATAGGAGAAAAGTTATAAATTGTGGACAAAGACTTCTTTATTCTCTTCAATGCTCTAAATTCCTCCTGCAGATGATGAAGGTAGGGCAGCTGAAAAGTCACCTGGGACTAAGGAATCTCAGCTCTAGGAGTTTATAAACTACGTGGCTATCTCAAGGAGGCATGAGTGTCTGAAAAATTTTCAATATCAAATGTAATCTAAGCAAACTTCCCAATTACCATTCAGTGCTTTTATGGAGCCAGGGGAATATTTCATGAAGCCCTATTTAGGCAGGAACAGACACTTAGGATTTGGTTTACTATCCTTGTTGCCTCCTTCCTTCTCCGTCTTTAATGCATCTTAAATAATCTCCAGTTATATCCTAAAATTCTCACAATTTCTTAAAAAATTAAAGTATTACATACTATATTCTGAATCCTCAATTTAAAAAAATATGGAGGCAGAGCTACAGAAATTCTAATATCAGTTCTGTTAAGTAGCTGGTATGATTTCTTTGGGTTTCTGTTTCCTTCCGTAAAATGAATCAGATGCACCAGAAAATCTCCAAGATTCCTTTCAGCCCTATGAGTCTATAACAGACAGTTCTCCGTAGAGATGGTGGCCTGAATTCAAAGTATCACAAATCTCTGAGGGATGCTATTGCACTGTCAGACACAGTCCAGTCCCAAGTCCATAAAATATGCCATGTGAGAACAGTCTGCAAACCAGTCAATTCATATCAGACTATGACACTTTGTAAGATGGGTAAGATGCTTGGGATTATTTCCTCCCACAACCATTTTTCAGAAATCCTGACATGGGAAACAAATTAAATAAACATAAAAATTTCAAATAATAGCTTAAGCAATCACAGAAGAGATACCACAAGTTACCAAGTTAATTTGCTAACTGAACAGTATAACATTGACCTAAATAATCAGAGGAGGAATCATGCATTATACTCAGTTTTGTTCTGCAGGTGAATATTTTTTGTCTTATAATTGCTTATATTCTTGTCTTTTCACCCCTTGTAAAAGTTTCTTGAAAGGCAGTTGTCTTGTCTTTCCATCTTGTCTCCAACCTTGCCCTCAACACAAGACCTTGCACTTAGTAGGCCCTCCGTAAAGGCTACTTTATTGTCTTCCCCCCTTGACTGGTAACCTGATCAGGTGCAACTATAGCTACGTGGAGCAAAAAAGTGAGCACTTGTGAGCACTTACCTAGAGATGCTGCGGTCACAGCAATTTCAGGAGTGTGACCCCCCAGCTCTCTTTATACTCCCAAATCTGCCAGCCCAGCACTCTAACTTGGCTATATTTGGGGGAGCACCATTTACTTGTTAGATGTAAATGCGTCGTAGCCCTGATCTCTCACTCTTGTTAAGTTACTTGGATAAATGACCAGTGGAGGCTGCATAATGCCAAGTCAGCTGCATAGGGATTTTGACGTTGGACACAGATCTTTGAGACTTAGAGAGTCCTAGGGGCTGAGTGGAACTGGAGCAGAGTGTGCTAAGAAGGTCACTGAAGGGCAGAACCACAGGATGCTTTGTCAAGCAATGGGTGATCAGTAGTGTGGACAGTAACTACACCTCATTTACCCAGCATTGGTATGGGATGGTGTGCTTCTCATCTCAGAAATCTCTGGAAATTTAAGGTTGACCTTTTAACACATCCAGTCTTATTTATGTATTTGTTTGTTTAAAAATCTACTGGAAGAAAAGCTTTCCAAAATGTATTTTACATTATCCTGCTCTGTGTAACCTACTATCTTGAATAGAATTTAAGTTTTTCTTGATCACTCTGGGGGTCTGGGAGATGATATAATAAAGTCATCAAGGATCTGGTTCTTAGTGGATCATGCCTGCACTAATTGTTCCTGCTGTGAATTTTGGTGTATACTTTTATTTATTATTATTATTATTATCGAAACAGAGTCTTGCTCTCTCCTCTAGGCTGGAGTGCAGTGGCGTGATCTTGGTTCGCTGCAAACTCCATTTCCCAGGTTCAAGCAATTCTCTTGTCTCAGCCTCCCAAGTAGTTGGGATTATAGGCATGTGCTATAATCCCATGTGTTATATATAGGCATGTGCTATAATCGCCCAGCTAATTTTTATATTTTTAGTAGAGACAGGGTTTCACCATGTTGGCCAGGGTGGTTTCGAACTCCTGACCTCAAGTGATCCTCCCGCCTCGGCCTCCCAAAATGCTGGGATTACAAGTGTGAGCCACCACACTTGGCCTTACTTTTTAGATTTTCTGTCTTTGCCTTCATGGCCAGCCTCTCAGGTATAATTTCTTTCTGTGGTAAGTTTGTCTTTACTAGCCTGATTTTGTATTATTGATTGGGAAAGAGATTACAAAATTAAGATCAGGCTAAAGTAAGAGTAAATAAGTTCTGAGTGCAGCTCTAGTGGGTTCTAATGAAAATACGTGGACTTTGTGACAATTATAGTTACTTAGGAGTTTTTTTATTTTTTGCTAAAATATAAGTGATGTTTGACTATGTAGGAACAACTGTATATGTAGAAGTTAGAGCCATTTACTGCAATACAGTGTGATCTGTTTAAATTGTATATAATCAGTGTTTGTTGAATCAAAGTTTCCTTAATCAGTCTCCAGTGGGTAGAATTTCATGTAGGTAGGGCATTTCCAAAAGATAGTTTGCATTAATCAAAGTGAATTTTAGACCAGAGGAGGAGCAGGTAGAGATAGGACTTCCACAAAGTATTTTCTCTTCCTTCCTTCCTTCCTTCCTTCCTTCCTTCCTTCCTTCCTTCCTTCCTTCCCTCCCTCCCTCCCTCCTTCCTTCCTTCCTTCTTTCGTTCCTTTCTTTCTTTCTCTCTCTTTCTTTCTCTTTCTTTCTTTTTTTTTTTTGAGACAGAGTTTTGCTCTTGTTGCCCAGGCTGGATTGCAATGGCGCGACCTCCGCCCACCACAACCTCCGCCTTGTGGGTTCAAGCGATTTTCCTGCCTCAGCCTCCCGAGTAGCTGGGATTACAGGCATGTGCCACCAGGCCCAGCTAATTTTGTATTTTTAATAGAGACGGGGTTTCACCATGTTGGTCAGGCTGGTCTCGAACTCCCGACCTCAGGTGATCCGCCTGCCTTGGCCTCCCAAAGTGCTGGGATTACAGGCATGAGCCTGGCTTCCACAAAGTATTTTCTAAAGTAGATTTGACAGAATGCAGATTGGGAGGGTCGCTTCGAAATAAATGGTCCTGTGGTTAAATGAGCTTAAGAAATGTGTTAAACTCTATTCCCTCCTGTTAGAGATTCATCATAAATATTAGCATATTAAGGGATGTGAGAAGCCCTTCAGTAAAGAAATATGAATACTTTTTTTTTAGACCTGGAACTTCCCTAGGTGATTTGATGTTGGAACACAAACTTATTTATTTCCTGTTCCAGAAAACAAGAGAGGAAAGGCTGAAGGACATAATCCATAGCAAAGTTCTGGCCCAGAAGAAAGCAACCGAGAGTGATCAGCCCTAAGCACAGTTGCTTTTATTTGAGGTGCAGCCTTTTGCATGTAGCAGATGCTCAGTAAATGTTCGTCCTGGTGAATAAATGAATCAAGATGACTCATAGGGGAGTCATCCTGACTCATGTGTTGAAAGGCCTGAAGTGATAAGAAAAGAATGGAATCAGACTCTGAGTTTCATTTAATGGTAATAATTAAGACTTAAGAACTAGGCTGGGTGCAGTGGCTCACACCTGTAATCCCAGCACTTTGGGAGGCCGAGCCGGGTGGATCACTTGAAGTCAGCAGTTTGACATCAGCCTGGCCAACATGGTGAAACCCCATCTCTACTAAAAATACCAATAAAATTAGCCAGGCGTGGTGGTGCACACCTGCATTCCCAGCTACTTGGCAGGCTGAGGCAGGAGACTCGCGTGAACCCAGGAGGTGGAAGTTGCAGTGAGTGAAGATGGCACCGTTGCACTCTAGTCTGGGCAACAGAGAAAGACTCCATCTCACATAAAAAAAAAAAAAGAAAGAAAGAAAGAAAAGAAAAAAGACTTAAGAACTCACCACATGCCAGGCTTTATCCATATTGATTCACTGAAGCTTTATAATAGTCCTGTGAGGTAGGTGCTAATATCATTTCTATTATACAACTACTGAGAGTTTAAGCAATCTGCCCAAGGCCATACAACTAGTCAGCAGCTGAAATGAGTTTCAAGTGCTCTCTGGCTCTAGAGCCTATGCCTGTAACATCTCGTTTTTGGAAATGCATCATGTTTGAGTGCCTACTTGGTATTAGACTCTGTGCTGGGAATGGGGAACAGGGGTATGAGCTAAGATCACTGCCCCAAAGGAGCTGACAATGCAGATGGGAAGAGAAGTGCATAGACATGAAAAGGATAAATCACTTTCCCAGATGAAACTATCCTAAACTGATTGGATTGTGGACAGTGGATTCGACGTATGTACAAGGTATTTGAAAAACCATAAAGTGTGTTGTATATATAAAATATTAGCAGAATTGTTATAATAATAACATTTTATTTATTTTGAAGGAGGGAAAAGATCTGGACAGAAGTAGTGACTGTAGATAATAATAATCTTTTAGTACTTTTTGGTTTAGATGACGATTTTATATATTTTATTATGTTTATTTTTCTCTACCAGGCTGAGAGGTTTATACGATTCATATTATTATTATTCCCACGGTCTAAATGGGGAAACTGAGGCCTAAAAGGGTAAAGGATTGGCTAAAAGGCCCCACAGCTAGTACGCAATTGAACCAGAACTGAAATCCAGGATTTCTGATTCCAAAGCCACGCCTTTTCCCCTAGTCTCTCCTGTCCCTTAAAGGAGGCAGACTTTTAACTGGGTGAGGGGAACAGGAAGGAGGTTCTAGGCTTAGGGAACTGAGGGATCATTGCTTGGAAACAAGTCTTCCCAGGATATTTTAGGAAGGTCAACTGGGAGAGCCAGGCCACAGCACAGGACTGGGGTGGGGTCGGGGGTAATACGGAGGTGAAGGCAGAAGTGGGCTGTGCTTATTTGTGATGGATTTTCAGTGCCCAGGAAAGGAGTCAGGCATTATTCCGAGATCACTGGGAGGCCTTTTGAGGTTTGTGAGCAGGAAAGTGGGCAGATTACACACACACACACACGCACACATGCACACTCACGCACACACACACATATGTATTTGAAGATGAGTCTAGAACTGGTGATATGATGTAATGGTGGCAAGAGAACCTGGCGGCCTAGAAGCAAGTTGTGACTATTGAAAAAATCTTGGTGTAAAACTTCCCTAGATGATTGGACAGGTTCTGATGACTCGTGGGGGCAGGCAGGCTGTTAGATGCTTAGACTTTACCCCTCAATGCCCCTGCGCTTTCAGATCTGTGTTAAAATTCCCCACAGCACCGCAGGGTGGCTTTCGCAGTGGTTGTGAGTCCTGGTGGCTGGTGGTTCTGAGTCCAGCCCTGGTGGCTCTGATTCTGCCATGCAGAGTCAGGGAGAAGAGCATTGCGTGGGCTTGTAGTTTTTCTTCTACACTGTCCCATTTAGGCAAAGCAGGAACAGTGAAATTTCAAACCCCAAGTGGTAAAAGAAGTGTGTATTAGGGACCAAGTGTGGTGGTTCACACCTGTAATCCTAGCACTTTGGGAGGCTAAGGCAGGTGTATCACTTGAGGTCAGAAGTTCGATACCAGCCTGGCCAACATGGTGAAACCCCATCTCTACTAAACATACAAAAATTAGCTGGGCATGGTGGCAAGTGCCTGTAATCCCAGCTACTTGGGAGGCTGAGGCAGGAGAATCTCTTGAACCTGGGAGATGGAGGTGGCAGTGAGCCAGAGATTGCACCACTGCACTCCAGCCTGGGTGACAGAGCAAGACTCCATCTCAAAAAAATAAAAAAAAGAGGTGTATATTAGGGCCCATTTAAGACCTTTGTGAGTTCTAGGCTTATTTTTTGAGGCTCTACCCCATATTATATCAATATATTAAAATCTACTCAGTGTATATTAACAATCACTTACACTGAATATAAAAAATAATCGGCCAGGTGCGGTGGCTCATGCCTGTAATCCCAGCACTTTGGGAGGCCTAGGCGGGCGGATCACGAGGTCAGGAGATCGAGACCATTCTGGCTAACACGGTGAAACCCCATCTCTACTAAAAATACACACACACAAAAATTAGCCGGGCATGGTGGCAGGCACCTGTAGTCCCAGCTACTCAGGAGGCTGAGGCAGGAGAATGGCGTGAACTCAGGAGGCAGAGCTTGCAGTAAGTGGAGATCACGCCACTGCATTCCAGCCTGGGAGACAGAGCGAGACTCCGTCTCAAAAAAAAAAAAAAAAAAAAAAAAAATCATGGTTAAGTCATCATAGTTAAGTGTTTGCAGAAAAAATTTTTAAAAAATTGGTGTAAAATGAAGAGGGCCTCAATTACAGAGAATAAAAATGAAGTTCAAAAGGAAGGAGAGAAAACTCAAGAGGTCCCCTAAAGGCAGGACCCAAAGGGCTTTGATGACTGCCGAGTTTGGGGGGCGAGGAGTCGTCAAAGGATCCTGCCTGTCATGCAGACCTCATTTCAGCCTGGAATCTAGGGCCACGACACCAGCCCAGAGGAGACACTGAACTGGAGAAAGATGAGTGTCGATTTTGGACATATTGAGCGTGAGATGATGTGGCAGAGATAAGGGTTCAAAGTTTAAAGGAGATGTCAAGGCTAGAGATGTCATCCTCTATGTTGGGGGATATCATTTGTCTAGAGGTGATAATTTAAACTCTTGTGAAAGTTTAGCGCTCACAGGAAGGCTAGGTGTTGCGGACATGGGAAGAGGAAATGAAAACAGAAAAGGAGGAAAAAAGTAAATAAAAATAAACGAGGTTCATTCTGCAAGTAAGCAAATACCAAGTGAGAAGCAGTAAGATCTTGCTGGAGTCAGAAGACCTGAGAGAGTCCCCAGCTTACTTCTGCCATTTTCTGACTGGGGTGAGCCCCCCTCCCTTCTCTTAGCAACTCTGGAGTCTTTCCCCTTCAGCTGCAAAATCAGAAAAAATTTTTCTGTTTCTGTCCAAGTCACGAGAATGATGCAGGGACCTAATGAAATCCTGTCTATGCCATCTAGATGTGGCTATCTCTGTGTGCAGTCTGCTTCTATCCCATCCCAAACTGTACATTTTCATGTCCACCCACCCTGACCTGGTCTCAGCATATAATCCACCATCCCCCAAAATCTAAATGAGCAATGCAGAATTTACCAAAGATATTTTAGGGGAGACATAGAAGAGGATTATATTACATACCTCAGAATACATTATCTGTTTCCATCAGAAATGTCTGTTCTACAAAGTCCATTTTTTCTTTACACTGATGCTGGATGTCTTTTCCTTTCTTCCTTTCAGGAATTTCTCTGCACCCCTAGGGTACTCAGTTGATCCTCTATTATGTGGAATCATTTAGCTCTGCCATAGACATGCATTTCTACTCTTCTGGTTACTCAGCAACATAAAAGTCATCAAATAAAGAAGACCACTTTCATCTTTAGAAACAAGTTTGGTCACCACCTATTTTTATTCATATAGGCCCTTTTTCAGGGGGAAAGGGACTCATCTTTTTCTTTCTTTTTTTTACAGCTGTATTGAAGCATAATTGATATACAAAAAGCTATACACACTTAAGCACACAATTTTATGAGTCTGGACATATGCATGTACCATAATCAAGGTAATAGTCATATCCATCACCTCTGAGAGATTCCTTGTTTTGGGGTTTCATCATCTCTATTTCATCACTATTCCCCCAAGTCCACAGCTCCCACCCCACACTATCAGCCCACCTCTCTCAAACCTGAGAGGAGTTCTATGACTGGAAATTTTCTTCAGTCTTATTACAAAATCATTTCGTCTACTCAAAAGTGAAGGTAACTTTATTATTAGTGTCAAAATAAGTCAAGGGAAGTGATATTTTCAAGAGAGAGGCTATCATGAAGAGTGCTACAGAGAAGCTGGAGAAAGAGAGGACCAGGAACAGGGCATTGGATTGGCCAGGGAGGTGATCCTGACAGCAATGTCAGCAGGATGGTGGGGGTGGCAGAAGGGATTAAGGAATGAGCAGGTGTTAAGGAGGAGGAAAAAGTTTTTCTGATTTTCCTAGGGACACATCTCTTCACAAATCACTATTTAAGATGCTTTCAGAGGAAATGTCAATGTGGATAGCGCAGTGGGAAGAAGGAGGCAGTAGCAAGGCCAAATAAGACTAGGAAAAAAAGTGTGATTGAGGTCACTCCTCAGAAGGCTACTTGAGAAGAAAGGGCAATTAATTGTGCTAATAGTGGGATCATACCTCACCCCTTACAACTCAGGCTATCTCAGGGCTTATGTAACAGATGAAATTTCAAAAAGCAGCAGGACGTTTTCCAGCCAGGAACAGAAATTTCTGAGTGAAAGTCACATTGGTGAATGGCCCCCATTCATATTTGAATTGCCTAACTAAAGATTTGAATGATAATATAGATTCTGGAACTAAAGGAGGCTTTGAATATTGTCTAAAGTAACTCCTACCTTACAGAATCAGAAATTGAGGTTCTAGACAGTTTATCTAATTCATGCTAAGCATAAAATTAGTCCCCTCTCCATTCTACTCTCAAACTCAACAGAGCAAGTTTGGAACTCTTTCAAATAGAATATATAAACTTCTTCACTGCTGGTATTTATATACTGAAAATGTGCAAAGCAAAAAGTTCATAGGGGTTATCAAAAGCATTATTTAAATTGATTATTAAATGTCAATGAGAAAAGAGACTTATCACAGTTTTGTAGGTGGGAAAACTGAGGCTTGGTGAGGATAAATGACTAACCATACGGCTAATAAGTGGCAGAGTGAGAGCTAAAACAAACATCTTTTGACTCCAAGTCCAGTTTGTATTTTCACTTGAAGACAGCTGCTTCTGGCTTTACAAGATCCTGTAAGACACTAATGCTATCAGAATTATACATGCTTCTCAGAATTACACATAAACTAGGCATCCTTCACCGAAAATAACATGAAGAGATTGTGTGGATGACCTGAGAACATTGTGTTCAGAGAAAAAATCCTACCAGCTAGGTCTGTTCAGTAAACTGGAGACTTTCCAGCCTGGCTTCATAGCTTTGACTCATGTCTGTGAGAGTTAGGATCTCCTGCTGTTTGCTTCCTACCTTGGGGTCTATTTGCTGTGTTTTGGTTACTTCAGCTGCTTAAAACCTCATTAGAGCTAAGGAAAGCATGATTGATTACTTTTAACTACTACCACTGAGGTCTTAATGTGTCCTAAAAAAGCTTGTTGGATGCAGTAAAAGTATGTACTTATATCATTAAAATCTGCATGATAATGCAGTCACTAAGAATGGACCTTGACAATCAGAATGCTGGGTCACAAATTCTGACTTCACTATTTAAGCTACTTGAATTTGGGCAAGTTACTTAATCTTTGTCAGCCTCAGTTTTCTCACCTGTAGAATGGGAATGTTAACAGTAACTCAGGAGGTTCTTGTGGCAATTAAGTGAATTAATGAATGCATGGCAGGTTACTATTTGGATGTGACATGATAGTTTGGGAAAGGGGAGAGTGGTTGAGGCTATGTCAACAGAGAACCTTGTGATTTTGAAAAACATGAGCTTTCTTCGGTGAACGCACCAACCACTGACAGTGGCAGAGGGCTTTGGGAGCCAAGTCAATGTCTCCAATGTTGTTCATGTCTTTGATGCTGCTGTCTGGTGAGGCCCACCAGCTGCCAAAGCCTGTCCACTGTCTTTTTAGTCCTCTCATTCTACCCAGTATATGTAGCCAATTTTCTGTGTAGATTCATTCCTCCCCACATAGCAGTAAAACAAAACAGGGAAGATAGGAGCCTGGATATCTGAAAGTAGGTGACCAACCATGCCAATTTGTTTGGGGCTAAGGGAGTTCTTGAAACTTTCCATTTTAAAACCAGGACTGTCTTGGGCAAGTGGTGGTAAATTCATCACTATACCTGATAGGTTGTTGGAGGGTATCATGGCAAAGTCCTCAAAATATCTACCTAAATTTTGGTTTAAATCTTTTCACATTTTTTCCATGTTTTTATGTATTCTTTTTTGTTTGTTTGTTTGAGACGGAGTCTCACTCTGTCACTATGCTGGAGTGCAATGGCACGATCTCGGCTCACTGCAACCTCCTGACAAGACAAGCCTGACCAAGACAAGGATAGATGGAATCAGTTTGAGATCTTCTAGAATGATCCAAGCTACAATGATGATGAAATTCCCACCTGGAACTGTTAATTGCAAAACTGTAATACATACATAGGGCTTAGCAGAGAGCTAGCAACATGGTAAACATGCATTCATTCATTCAACATTCGTTGAAACCTTACCATATGCTGGGAGGATTTTAAGTACTGGAGAACAAAATAGATAAAGTCACAAACAGATATATCAATTAAAGATAAATGCTCTGAAGGAAAGAAAAGCAGGATAAGGAAACAGTGGCTGTGTGGGGAAGTTTCTCTGAAGAGGTGATATTTGAGCAGACACCTAGTGAAGTGAATGAGTAAGCCATGAAAATATCAAAGGGCGACAGTATTTCAGGCAGAGGAAACAAATGCAAACGCTCTGGGAGATGGTGGGCCAGTGGGGCAGAGTGAACCAGTAGTAGGGAATGTAGTGGCAGAGGTAGGCAAGAGCCAGATGGTTTAGAGCCTTGGAAATTAAGGTAAGGACTTCGGGTTTCAAATGTCAGCTGTTGTTATAAAGGCTGTTTTTTTCCTCCTTTTTCTGTGTTGAGTGTTGGATCTGTTAACTGCTCTTTTTCTACTCAATATTGGTTCATTCTGTCCAACAAAATTTATTGAATGTCTGCTCTTCATTCAACAGAAGGCTAATGAAGACATTTTTTCGGGAACTGAAGAGAAAGTTTGTTTTCTCAACAACTATGATCTAGTTGTGGGGGGGAGGGAGTGGGTCAAAGTGCTGATAATGCGTCAAAAGACGGCAGCAGTGCGCCGAGCGCGGTGGCTCACGCCTGTAATCCAGCAGTTTGGGAGGCCGAGGCGGCGGATCACCTGAGGTCGAGAGTTCGAGACCAGCCGACCAACATGGAGAAACGCCAAGTCTCTACTAAAAATACAAAAATTAGCCGGGCGTGGTGGCGCATGCTTGTAATCGCGGAGGTTGCGGTGAGTCGAGATCGAGCCATTGCACCCCAGCCCGGGCAATAAGAGCGAAACTGTCTCAAAAAAAAAAAAAAAAAAAAAAAGACAGCCACAGTGTGCTTTGAAGGAGACACCCTGGCACTACAGGAGAGAAACGATGTTTTCAATTGTCCAGAGAGGAGGGGAGTCACTTCCGGTGCGTCCCAGGGCATCATGGGAAGGGTCAGTCTGTGGGAAGGAAAGGCCAGAAGTGACTCCTGCCGTAGCTGCGGCAGGCCTGGAGGCCGTACTGGGACCTGGCCAGTAAGTGTGCATTTAAGAGTTTGCGAGTGAGCAGGACCTTGTTCGTCCCCGCGATTTATTTGTGCTGTGTAATTCCAGACAGTAGATCCGTGAAGGACTGTGTGGTGGGGAGGGTATGAAATTGAGTGTGGAGAGGGCATTTGAGGGCAAGTCCCATGACTGACTGGGCCAGACAGAAAATTTAAAATTCTTGTCAACAAAGCCCGTTTGAAAATTTTCAGTGCATACATAGCCATATTATTATGTTGTACATGTGGTACACATAAATATTCCTGTTTTTTTTTTTTTTTTTTTTTGAGACGGAGTAGCACTCTTGTCGCCAGGCTGGAGTGCTGTGGCGTGATCTGGGTTCACTGCAACCTCCACCTCCCGGGTTCAAGTGATTCTCCTGCCTCAGCCTCCTGAGTAGCTGGGATTACAGGCACCCGCCACCACGCCTGGCTAATTTTTGTACTTTTAGTAGAGACGGGGTTTCGCCATGTTGGCCAGGCTGGTCTCAAACTCCTGACCTCAGGTGATCCGCCCGCCTCGGCCTCCCAAAGTGCTGGGATTACAGGCATGAGCCACCGCACCCGGCTACACATATATTCTTATATAAAGTCAGGTTCAGATACTCAAATCCGTGGGTACCAATTGAATTATTTTTCCAAATAGTGGAAAAAGTGATGATTTTGTTGCTCAGAAGGTACTACCTTTCCCATCCATGTTTTAAACATAATTTCTCATACTTTGAGCCTTCACACTGCGCAGTACCTCAGTTTCCCCAGGAAAGCCACAAGCCATAGTTTCTGTGAGGAGCTGAGAAGATAGTTTGCCCTCTTGTGAAGGTCAGCCTATTGGAATCTAAGAGAAGCCCTGTTTTGGGTGTGTTCCCCAAGGGAGATGTTTTTCTCCTTCACCATGGAGAGGCTTTCTTTTTTCTTGCGGCCTCCGGAAGCGGCATCTTAGTGGCCCTTGGAACTAGGAGGGAGGAATCAGGCTGGCAAATTCTATCCTTAAGCAAGGTTCTTTCCATCTGCCCACGGCTGATTCTTCAGCTTCTCGCTTTGGAAAATGTGACCGATGGAGTCTGCGATGACGGTTCCTAGGGACACCGATATGTGGAACATGTGCCCAAACCTCTGCCACAGCCAGGAGGCAGAATTTAAGTTTGCTTACTGACAGCTGCTGTGTGTCAGTCCTGGAATGTTAATCCTTACAGAGAGCTTGGATGACAGGCAACAGCTTTTAGCAGCTGTGCTAATGATCTCATCCATCAAACGACCCTCTCTTCACCTTACTGTTGTCAGTTATATCCACGTCTTTGATGAGAAGTGGATATGAAATCTTAAGAGGCAGGTTACTTTTATTTATTTTAAAAACATGAGCCTTTAAAAGAATTCCAAAAATAGTACACACATTGAAAAACATAATCAAACATACTGAAGGAAAATTTTAAATCTTGCCTAAAATTTTAGCATAGAAGTCATCTCTACCTAAATTTTGGTTTAAATCCTTTCACATTTTTTTCCATGTTTTTATGTATCCTTTTTTCTTTCTTTTTTTTTTTTTTTTTTGAGGCGGAGTCTCATTCTGTTGCTAGGCTGGAGTGCAGTGGTGCGATCTTGGCTCACTACAACCTCCGCCTCCTGGGTTCAAGTGTTTCTCCTGCCTCAGCCTCCCCTGTACCTGGGACTACAGGCGAGTGCCACCATGCCCAGCTAATTTTAATATTTTTTAGTAGAAACGGGGTTTTACCATGTTGGCCAGGATGGTATCCAGCTCCTTTTTTTTTTTTTTTTTTTAGATGGAGTCTCGCTCTGTCGCCAGCCTGGAATGCAGTGGTGCGATCTCGGCTCACTGCAACCTCTGCCTCCCAGATTCAAGTGATTCTCCTGCCTCAGCCTCTGGAGCAGCTGGGACTGCAGGTGTGTCACCATGCCCAGCTAATTTTTGTATTTTTAGTAGAGATGGGGTTTCACCATGTTGGCCAGGATGGTCTCGATCTCTTGACCTCATGATCCGCCCACCTTGGCTTCCCAAGGTGCTGGGATTACAGGCATGTGCCACCACGCCTGGCCAATTTTTATGTATTCTTAAACACATACACAATTGAGATATCAGTCTGCAAGCACTGTTTTGTATTCTGCTTTTAGAACACATTTTAAAATTTTCTCATGATATTAACTATTCTTTTAGATTATGATTTTTAATAGTTACGTAGTGTACCATGCTTTGAAGATAACATAATTTATATAACAAATTTTCTATTATTGGGCATTTAGGGTGCTCTAAGTTTCTGTTCTTTAAAATATTCTGCTAAGTATATATGTGTACATAAATGCTTATGCATATCTTTAATTGTTAAATCTATAGAATAGACTTTCTGGGCAAAGGCTAAAGATAGTTTTCAGTTTGCAACAGTGGAGTCCCTGTTATTGGAGCCTTCACAATAATGATATTGCATAGGAAAACAAAAAGTATTCACTAACGATCTTGTTGATCATTATGTATTGTAAATATGCAATAATCAATTTAAGTTGAATGCAAAGTAAAATGAGAAATCTTGGAACAGTTGCAGAATTTAGTGAAGTCAGTGAAAGTAGTAAAAAAAATTGGCTTGAGTTTTGCAAAGCCATTGACCAGCGTGCATTCAGCAGTGTTGAACTAGTTAACAATTGAAGAACTGAAAATGGACAAAAATGATGACCCAATAGATGTTTCCCGAGAATGAATTCAGGATCAAAGGATTAGGAAGGCTCTTAAAAATATTGATGAAGTCATGCATTTTTGTGAAAAAGGATGTATTTTATTATTGCATTGCAAAACTTAAAGGATGTCATATTATGTTATCACATATGACTGTGAGAAATCTGTCCCTTTTGTCCCAACTGCAACATTTACTCATTCTTTGTTCTAAGAATAGCAGAGTTGCAATTATGATCTAAATCTTAAGAAATGCAACAGAAGGCTGGGCACCGTGGCTCACGCCCGTAATCCCAACACTTTGGGAGGCCGAGGCAGGCAGATCACGAGGTCAAGAGATTGAGACCATCCTGGCCAATATGGTAAAACCTTGTCTCTACTAAAAATACAAAAATTAGCTGGGCATGGTGGCACGTGCCTGTAATCCCAGCTGCGCAGGAGGCTGAGGCAGGAGAATCACTTGAACCTGGGAGGTGGAGTTTGCAGTGAGCCACTGCTCTCCAGCCTGGTGACACAGTAAGACTCCGTCTCAAACAAAAACAACAACAACAACAACAACAAAAAACAAAAACAGAAAAAAAGAGAAAATCAATTGTTTCTCTGTATGTTAGCAGTGAACATGTAGACAGCAAAATTAGAAATATAATGCCATTTACAGTCACTTAAAAAAAGAAAGAAGTTAGACAGGCCGGGAACGGTGGCTCACGGCTGTAATCCGAGAACTTTGGGAGGCCAAGGTGGGCGGATCATGAGGTCAGGAGTTTGAGACCAACCTGACCAACGTGGTGAAACCCTGCCTCTACTAAAAATACAAAAATTAGCCAGACATGGTGGTGCACGCCTGTAATCCCAGCTACTCAGGAGGCTGAGGCAGGAGAATGGCTTGAACCCGGGAGGTGGAGGTTGCAGTGAGCTGAGATTGTGCCACTGCACTCCAGTCTGGGCAACAGAGTGAGACTCCGTCTCAAAAAAAAAAAAAAAAAAAAAAAGTTTGACATAGATCTAACAAAATTTATATATGGCTTGTATGCTGAAAACTACCAAACACTGATGAAAGAAATAAAAGAAGATCTAATTAAATGAAACAGACTGTAGTTAAGAATTGGAAGATTCAACATAGTAAATATGTCAACAAACTGATAAACAGGCTTCATGCAATTTCTGTGAAAAAGTATAGCTCTGGCTTTAAAGTTTGGCATATAGTATTCTAATTACTAATTATCTTCCCAGAGTACTGTAATTGTGATATTTCCCCTAATGCAGAATTTTAAATTTATGGAGGTATAATTGACATTTAAAAGTGCACATATTAAAAGTGCACAGTTTGATAGGTTTTTACATACATAGATGCCTGTGAAACCATCATCTCAATCAAGATAATGAACATGTTCATGGACCCCCCTCCCAAATTTCCTCCTGCTCCCTTGTAATCCCCTCCACCCTTTCTTTGTGCCCCCTACAAACCCTCCCTCTGCATCACTAGCCAACTGCTGGTCCACTTTCTATCACTGTAGTTTTCATTTTCTAGAATTTTATATAAATAGAATAATATAGTATGTACTTTTTGGAGGGGCTGCTGCTTTCAATCAACGTAATTATCTTGAGATTCACCCTTTTTAGTGTTAATGGTTTCTTTTGATAGCTGAGTAGTATTTCATTGTATGGATATACCATAATTTGTTACCCATTCATTTGTTGATGGATATTTTGGTTTTTCTTTTTGGTTTTTGCCCCTATTACAAATAAATGTGCCATAAACATTTGTGTACAAGTCTTCATGTGGACATACGCTTTCATTTCTCTTTGGTAAATACCTAGGAATAGAATGGCTAGATCATATAGATAATTTGTTAACTTTTAAAGAAGTTGCCAAACTGTTTTCATAAGTCATTGTAACATTTTACATTATGACTCTTGGCCAACACTTTGGTCTTTTAGTCATTGTAGTAAGTGTGTTGTGGTATCTTACTGTGTTTTAATTGATATTTTTCTCATGATTCATGATGTTGAATGATTTTCAGATGCCTTTTTATCATCTGTATGTTTAGTGAAATGTTTGTCTAAACCTTTTGCCTTTTAAAGTATTATGTTGTTACCTTTTCCCTGGATTTTTAGATTTGTTTATATATTCTGAATATAAATCTTTCATCAGGGATATAAGTTGTAAATACTTTCAATCTGTGGCTTGTCTTTTCATTCTCTCTATAACAGTGTTTTTCAAAGAGCAGAAGCTTTACATTTTGATGATGTACAATTGATCAATTTTTTCTTTTGTGGCCTGTGTCTTTGGTGTCATATCTAAGACATCTTTGCCTAAGCTGAGGTCACAAAGATTTTTTCTTTTGTTTCTTTCTACATGTTCTTATGATTGTAGTTTTGATTTCCTCTTTGATCCAAAATTTTGTTTTTTGGAGATTATTTAACTTTTTTTTTCTCTTTTTTGTTTTAAACTTTTGTTATTAACTTAGACACATTTGAGATTGCGGTCTACACAATTTATAATGAAAAGATTGAGGGTGATAGGGGTTTAGAGGTTGGGGGAGAGTAAATGTTAGAAGGTAGAGGAAGGAGTGAATAAAGTACAGTCTTTGTCTAGATTTCATTTTTGTTCTGCTGCTTCCTCTCTTTCTGGAGGTTCTACTCCATCAAGCCTTTTTTTGGTCTTATTTTCTGTCCCTCTTTTATAAGTTCATTCTTTCACTTTGTCTCTCATCCAATCTCTCTGACAATCCTATGTATGCTAGCTACCTTCAATAAATCTGGAATCCATCTACTTCTCTTTGTCTCCCGTTGTTATTTTTCTGCCCTAAGCCACTGTCATGGTTTTTATTGTTGTTGTTGTTGTTAGTTTTTTTGTTTTTTTTTTTTTTTGAGACAGGGTCTCACTCTGTCTCCCAGGCTGGAGTGCAGTGGTGCGATCTTGGTTTATTGCAGCCTTGACTTCCCGGGCTCAGGTGATTCTCCCACCTTAGCCTCCCTCGTAGCTGGGACTACAGGCATGTGCCACTATGCCCTGCTAATTTTTTTCTTTTTTTCTATTTTTAGTAGAGATGGGGTTTTGCTATGTTGCCTAGGCTGGTCTCGAACTCTCGGGCTCAAGTGATCTGCCCACCTCGACCTCCCAAAGTGTTGGGATTCCAGGTGTGAGCCACCGCGCCCAACTGCCACTGTCATCTTTTAACCTTTATTTTTCAGTAGGCTCCTAACTAGTTTCCCAGTGTCCATCTTTGCTCCCTTAGTTTATTCTCAACACAGCAGCCAGAGTGATTCTTTTAAAATGTTTGTTAATATCACCCTGCTCAAAACCCTCCAAAGCTTTCCCACTTCACTCTGAGTAAAGGCAAAAGTCCTTAGAGTGGCCAAGGGGCCCTACATGATCTGGTCTCTCAGTTCCTCTCTTATGCCTTAACTGTCTCATCTTGCTCAGTCTCTTCCTGCCCTGCTTGACCTCCTCCCTGCCCCCCTAACATTCCCTACCTGCCCTTGCCTTAGGGCCTTTGCATTTTCTGTTTTCTCTGCCTGGACGTGCTGTGCGCCCATATACTCACTTGGCTTACCCTCTTGCCTCCTTCAGGTCACTGCTCAAGTGTCTTCTTACCAGAGATGCCTTCCTTGACTACTGTCTATAAAATAGTAAATGCGGCCGGGCGCGGTGGCTCACGCCTGTAATCCCAGCACTTTGGGAGGCCAAGGCGGGTGGATCACGAGGTCAGGAGATCGAGACCATCCTGGCTGAGACGGTGAAACCCCGTCTCTACTAAAAATACAAAAAATTAGCCGGGCGTGGTGGCAGGCACCTGTAGTCCCAGCTACTCCGGAGGCCGAGGCAGGAGAATGGCGTGAACCCGGGAGGCGGAGCTTGCAGTGAGCCGAGATCGCGCCACTGCACTCCAGCCTGGGCGACTGAGTGAGACTCTGTCTCGGAAAAAAAAAAATAGTAAATGCTTCCCTCCTACTTTCTAATTTCCCATTAGTACTTATAATCTGGCTCATTACATAGTTATGAATTTATTTATTGCTTTTCTTTCGTTGTGGAATATAAGCTTCTAGAGAGCAGAAACTATATTTTGTTCACACAAAACTTAAATAGTGGCTGGCACTATTTATTGATTTATTATATTGATGCACATAGTAGATGCTCAATATCGTTTGTGGAGTAAATGAATGGGCCCATACAGAGGGCAGCCTCAGGGAGTGTTTTTCTTAGTAATTTGTAACAATCTAGAGAGATATAATAAAAACAAGCTCAGCAAAAGATATTTGTGTGTGTGTTGGTGGGGGGTGAAGAGGTGGGAAAGGGACTGTTGGGTGGTGCTGAAGGTATAAAATATTGAATGCTCTGCAAAGCCATATATAATATTAAGATATTAATAGCTAGGTGAGAACTGTGAGCATGAATAGCTTTGCAAGTGAAAAAATGAAAGTCCGGTTTAATGTATACATTTACTGTAGTTTTTATTTATTCAGCTTTAACAGGAAAATAAACGTCATAAAGCAAGTGACCAAAAATAGCACATTTTGTGCCTTTCTTCAGCCTCTTGATAGCATCAGGCAGGTGTGTTTACTCTGCACTGATTTTTGTGTGAACCTCTCGGCTCTTCACTCGCAATTTGTTGACCTGGGACTCAGCAATGTCAGCCCGTTCCTCGGCCTCCTCCAGCTCATGCTGGAGTTTGCGGAATTTAGATAGATTAGCATTGGATTGTTCCTCCTAAGAATAGAGATAAAATTGTGAGAATTAGACTGTGTGGTTCTCATTGCACTTATCACCAGACAGGATTAGTTCCTCAAATCAGGTATTTCCTTCTTATGGTCTATTTAGCATATCCGACTTTAAATCTAAACAGAGTTTATAACTTCAACTACAATTTTTACTTTAAAGAATGAAAGGAGAGTTTTGAAGTGGAGGAGACAGCCTCATATAAAGCCCATACATCCTTTTATGATTTATGTTCTGTGTGGAAAGGAGGAAGAGACCTATGTACACTTATAGACATCAGTAAGTAAATGTAAGGCCAAATTATAATTGGGGAAATACCACTTAATATATATTTTGATTCTAGTATATAAAGAAAGGGAAAAGATGGGACTAGACAGAAAGTCTCCTCTGTTAATTGACTCATTGCCATTTATGCCTCTCCCTTTTTTCTTTCCTTTTCTTCCTATTTACTTCCTACCTATCACATGTGTCTGGAAGAGTGGAGGGATAACCAGGAAGGGTATAGGTACAGAATCTTCTAACATGTTCTTATATTAGCTACAGCAAATGTGGGGGCAAGAGCCCCCACTGATGACACTAGTGGTGAGTGAAGAAGTCAGGTGGGGTAAAAGATTGATGTTTGGCTTTTGAGAACTTGATTTTTTCTATGTCTAGAGGGAGAGGAATATTTATGATGGTATTAATTAGAATTTCTACTGTATATCATTTGTAGCTATCAAGTAAGTGAGCTGTTTAGAACTTGCCCCCCTCAACCCTTACAAATTGCTTAATAATAAAAATATCTCGGCTGGGCGTGGTGGCTCATGCCTGTAATCCCAGCACTTTGGGAGGCCGAGGTGGGTGGATCACTTGAGGCCAGGAGTTTGAGACCAGCCTGGCCAACACGGTGAAGCCCTGTCTGTACTAAAAATACAAAAACCAGCCAGGTGTGGTGGTGCATGCCTGTTGTCCCAGCTACTGGAGAGGCTGAGGCATAAGAATCACTTGAGCTTGGGAGGCAGAGGTTGCAGTGAGCCAAGATCACACCACTGCACTCCAACCTGGGTGACACAGCGAGGCTCTGTGTCAAAATAAATAAATAAATAAATCTTTTGAAGTCTTATTCTGTAATTTGGATTTGGCGGGACAAATTCATATTTATAAAATCATCCCTCTTAAAATGAGTGGTAGATTTTCACTTTGTCTTCTTCCTTATTGACGCATTCTCTTAAAACACTTTCTACTGCAAAAGAAATTTCCTTCTTTCCTCAAGGGCTTAAAGATACTTACAGCCTCCTCAGCTTGTCTCTTGTATGATTTCACCTTCGCCTGTAATTTATCTACCAAGTCCTGCAGCCTGAGAACATTCTTGCGATCTTCTTCAGTCTGAAAGTTTGAAAAAAATAATCTGCATTCATTCCGAAGAGATAAGGCTACTCTGGGTACTAAAATAAAATCATTTGGCATGATGGCAGGTGGGCCTGGGGTAAACTTGATCAACTCTGAGATTTTCTTCATAGAATTAACAGTAGCACTCTTGGTAAATGTTTCCACTGTGCAGGTACTGTATTAGAGAATTGCACACATCCTCTCCAGTCCTTACCTCCCCATCCGGGAAAATAGACACTGTTATCTCTATTTTACAGGTGAAGAAACTGAGGTTTAGAGTGTTAAGTTCAAGAAGCAAGAGAGGCCAAACTAGGACTAATACCCAGTTAATCTGCCTTTAAAATCTGTGTTCTTTACTGTCATGCTATTTTCTAAACTTTAGAAATCTGAAGGCCTCCCTAAGTTTTAGTATAGGTCTGTGATAAGCAACTGTCTTTACTCCTTACATGTACCAAGTTAATGCGTATTTGTTTGTGAGTGGCATATAAATAAATAGTCATAAGGTTTTCAATTTCCTTCTGGGCAGGAAGAGTGGATATTCTGGAAGGCTATTCCCTTTACCTGGTAGGTGAGTTCTTTTACTCGTCGCTCATGTTTCCGTAAACCTTTAACAGCCTCTGCATTACGTTTCTGTTCATTTTCAACCTCTCCTTCAAGCTCACGTACCTGCAGCCAAGAAAAATACTTACGCAGTCAGTCTTGGGGGATATTAATTAGCCCAAGACCTACTGAAGGCATGGGGTGGGTGTTCCCAGCCCCAGGACAGGATGGGAGTCTTGTGTAGGAAGAGAGAAGGGTAGAGAGAGTGCCCTTTTTCCCTTCCCAGATTTAGAGAGATTGAGACACCCACCCTGGCCTCCAGTTTCTGGATCTGCTTCTTCCCACCCTTCAGCGCCAGCTGCTCGGCCTCATCTAGACGATGCTGCAGGTCCTTCACCGTCTGCTCCAGGTTCTTCTTCATCCGCTCCAGGTGGGCGCTGGTGTCCTGTTCCTTCTTCAGCTCCTCAGCCATCATGGCAGCCTATTTAGGAAATAAATTAAGAAAGTAATGAAACTTGATGATAGCAGGTGCATACGTGTCAGTAGGCCAAATGTTCATCTTACATCAGTGATGGCCTTCTTGGCTTTCTCTTCTGCATTGCGTGATTCTTGGATTACTTCTTCCACTTCACTTTGGAGTTGGGAAACGTCATTTTCTAATTTCTTCTTGGTGTTAATGAGACTGGTATTCTGTTAAAAGTAGTCGTGGAAATTTACAAAATTTGCAGTTTGCCCTCTTGGGATTTTACAAGTGTCTTACTTGTTGGTTCGTGCAGGGGATCTGCTGGCAACATTTCACTAAACTTTAATTATTTGTTCAGTGGAAAATGTTAATTATTTGCAAGGTAGGAACTCCTTTCCCCCAACTTCCCCAGTGTCCACCTGATTTATGCATAAGGACTTCTGAGGTTTGAGAATGCCTTTATTGGCATACATTAGTTAATTGTTCTTTTAATTATATTTCAGTCAGACATCACTAGTTATTCTATCTCTGGAAGGTTGGAAATAGAAAAGAATAGATTCGTTTTGTGAGTGGCAGGCACTGAGAGTTTCTTGCTTTGAAAGAATCTATTCTCTCTGAATTTTTATGATTTGTTCTGTCGGAGAGCACTGAATTTGTCTTATGAAAACATGTTCTTAAGATTTCAACTCAGTGTTTCTAGAGAGAAGCAATATCGTCTCAACAGGTATTTGAAAATGTTTAGGGGCAGATATTTTTGGTTGTCAAAATGACTAGGGGGTGCTACTGCATTTAATGCCTGGGCAGGTTAGGAATGCTAAATGAGCTGTAAGGCATGGGGACAGTGAACACAGCAGTGCTAAATGCTTAAGTGCTACCAATGAGAAACACTGCATGGAACATTTTCAGATTTTGGAGGCAACAGGTATCTTTACTCAATAGTATTCTACCTCATGGTTTCCAAAATAATCTAAATAGCCAAATCTTATTTTTAAATAAAAAAGTAATAGCTTTTTTTTTTTTTTTTTTTTTTTTTTTTTGGTGAGGGGTAGAAACCCCAAGAAAGAAACAGGAACACACACCAAAAAAACAAAAAAAAATCACCCATAATCCACCAATTACCCTAAGATAATAGCAATGAGTATTTTTGAGCATATCCCCCATCCATGTTTACATACACATATTTATACAAATTGAGTACTTTCATGTTATAATTCGAATGCATCAGCTACCAGTACACCAGCATTTGTTTGATGTGAGGGTCTCACCTGGGTGTGGAGGAGCTGGACACGCTCACTGGCATCCAGGAGCTCCTGTTCGGCGATTTTCCTGCTTCTCTCTGTCTGTTCCAGAGTGGCCCACAGCTCCTCGATCTCAGCCTGCAGCAGGTTGGCTCTGCGCTCCACAATTGCCAGCTGTTCCTTGAGGTCCTCCTGGCCCCGGAGAGCATCATCCAGGTGGAGCTGGGTTTCCTAATAAGTGAAAAACAGAAAGGCCTTAAGTGTTCTGAAGAGGATTTGAAGATCCCAGGAGATGAACTGGGAGATTGTACTGGTGACAGGAACAGAAGATGACATATGCCTGTCATTTGAATGCATCTGATTATGGTTAGGTCATTTGCTTAGGGTGAGAGAGAATTATCAGGAGACATAGATTCTTGTTCTATTTCTACCATTAACTGGTTACTGTGTCATGTGTGAGTCACTAATGTCTGTCATTTGTGGAGCAGTTTCCATATGCTCTATCAGGACTTGACATCTGTTATTTCATTTGATCTTCACAGTAACTCAGTGAGGTGGGTAGTTTCATTCTTATTTTGAAGAAGGAACAGAGGTTCTGAGAGGTTAAGTAATTTGCTTAAAATCAGGCAGCTAGTAAATGACAAAACTAAGACTCAACCTCAGGCCTGTCTGGTGCCCAAGTCTGTTCACTTTCTTTCATATCATACTGTAATGCCTAGGCATCTGTTTGTTCTTCTACATAACATTTTCTTAAAAATAATATGTTCTATGTGTATTTAATTCAGTTACCTTTGTGCGGTCAGCTGTATAATTTGTTAAGAGAAAAAAAGGATCGTTTAACAAGGTGTTTGGGAAATGGAAGACAGGTACTTTCCCTGCTTCATCTGGGAGGCGAATGTGGACCCGTTTACCTTCAGGATTCCTTGGGTGTTCCTGTAGTTCCTTAAACTCTCTGCAGCTAAGCGATTGGCATGGTTCAGCTGGATTTCCATTTCATTCAGATCTCCTTCCATTTTCTTCTTGACTCTCAGAGCATCATTTCTGCTTCTAATCTCTGCATCCAGCGTGCTCTGCATTGTCTCCACGACTCTAGTGTGGTTTCTCTTCAGCTGGTCAATTTCCTCATCCTTTTCTGCGATTTTTCTATCAACTTCAGACTTGACTTGGTTTAACTCAAGCTGGATACGCAGAATCTTTCCTTCTTCATGTTCAAGAGATGCCTTAACAAAACAGTGATCAATTAATAATGGAGAAGAACCTGAGTATTTGGAGTATATTCCCTCGTGAGCCAAACTCTTGTCAATATCAGTTTGTCTAATTTTACAAAGTATAATACAGTAGTTCTGGGAATCTTCTAGGTAAATCATTATTTTGTTTATTTAGTGACAGATTATATAGGGCAGCTCTGCAATAAAGGTGCATTGTGCTATACAAATATTGTTCATATTAATACTAATAAAATTATATAATTAAATTCATGTATAGTAAATATAAATTCTCAATCTGTTTTAGAAATTAAAATGTTCTTGTGTGATATACTAGCCCCTGACCTAGAAACTATCAGTTTTAAAATGTTAATTTTTTTTCCGATTACATAATAAATGTTCATTGTATAATGTGGAGGCAATACATAAAACCAAAAGAAAACCTAGCTGTTGTTCCCCCAGTAAAGAGAAAAACATTTTAATATGGTGTATTTTTTCTAGTCTTTTTTCCTACTTCTATATATTTTTACATAATCAAAATTATATTGTATATGCAAATTTGTGTCTTTAAAATTACTGTCTACCGTAAAATATTTTTCCAAAATAATCATATTTCATGGCTATATAAAATTTCATCACATGACTGTTCTGTGATTTGCTTACTTTTGTTCTTAGATTGCACATCTTTGCCTTAAAGCTTTACTCCATTTGACATCTTTTGGGTGATAAAATCTTAGAAATAGAATTGATAGGTCAGAGTATTTACATTTTTAAGGATTTTGATAACTATTGCCAAGTTGTCCTTCATAAAGATCCTGTGAGTTTAAATTATCACTAGCCCCACTTTTTTTTAACTGATGTTTGTCTTTGTTTTTCCATAACATAATACAAGGTAATATGTACCTCTGCTTCCTCTAAAGCAGCCTGAATTTCACATTTCTCTTGTTCTACTTGCTTCTTTATTTTCTCCAATTCATGAATTTGCTTTCCTCCCTCTGCAATCTGCTCAGTGAGGTCAGAAATCTCCTCTGTGGTTGAACAGACAGGAGAGAAATGGTCAGAAAGATGGCAACATGGAAAGGTCCTCCCAGGGATATATGGAGTAGGGAGGACTGTGAGGACTCACGTTGCAAGTTCTTATTTTCTCTTCTTAGCGTTTCGAGTTGATCCAGGGATTCCTCATAGACATTCTTCACCTTGAACAGCTCAGTGCTAAGAGAACGTGACTCCTTCTGGGAGGCCTCAAGTTCAGCCTGAGTTTCCTCATACTTCTGCTTCCATTCTGATAGGACCTGAAAAGCAATAAATCATGAGTTGATCCAAGGAGAAAGGAAGACCGAGTAAAACACTCTTAAAGTTTAAGCAGTCTGGGCCACCTTGTCAAAGTTCCTTTGCTTCTTATCAAGGGCTGCACAGGCTGCATTAGACCTTTCCACATCAAGCATGAGGTCTTCAACTTCATTCTGGAGCCGCTGCTTCGTCTTCTCAAGGGAAGCACATTTGGCGTTCACAGCTTCTACATGTTCCTCAGCTTCTTGCAGGCGCTGGGCCAACTTTTTCCTGAAAAGTTAGCCAGGCAGTCAGGAGAATGGCCAAGACCAGAAGCAAAGTGATAACCTCCTTGGTCCCTTTTCACAGTCCTATTTCTTTTCTTTTCTTTTGTTTCTTTTTTTGAGAGACGGAGTCTCGCTCTGTCGCCCATGCTGGAGTGCAGTGGTGCAATCTCGGTCACTGCGACCTCCCGGGTTCAAGCGATTCTCCTGCCTCAGTTTCCCAAGTAGCTGGGATTACAGATGTGCACCACCATGCCCAGCTAATTTTTGTATATATGTATATTTTTTTTTAAATAGAGACAGGGTTTCACCATATGTTGGCCAAGCTGGTCTTGAACTCCTGACCTCAGGTGATCCACCCGCCTTGGCCTCCCAAAGTGCTGGGATTACAGGTGTGAGCCACTGTGCCTGGCCACGGTCCTGTTTCTATACTGGCAAATGGCATATGATTTTCAAAACGGTGGCAGCCAGAACTGCTTTCTAGATTGGTAAACTGTATGGAAAGATCCAAAGTGGTGAAGAGTTGGAAACAAGTCCTGGGAATATTATAGAATTCTAAGAGGCTGCTGTTAGTGCTGCCATTGTATGCGCCTTACTACCTAAGTAACTCAGGATTTTCAAGACTTCTGATTGAGTATGACTGTGGAAAATTATTAGCCAGGACAATCTTGTTGTTTGACTTATATATCCATTCTCACTCCAATATGGATTTGAGGTTAACTAGATATTTTACTGGCCAGAAATATACTGAGCATATTCATTTGCTTTCTCAGACTTTTCATTCCATTTTATGTGTTTTTTTCCTAGAGAATAGCCAGTTTCTTCTAATCATTATAGTTGGACAATCTCTCCTGGGAAAGAAACTGATACATAAATCAGGACAATTCGTGCAGTTTAAACAAAGGCAGGTTTTTTTTCCCTCCTGAATTCTCTACATTCTCAGTTCATTTTCAGTTGTGTGCCAAGTACACATCCTTATGGTAGTGAAAAACCTTTGGCTTGATGCCCAGGGAGATCTACTTGAAGGTCTCCGTTTGTCTATATGCAGACTAAGGCTTCACTTTATTTAGGCCAACCCTAAACATTATGTATGGTTTGGTGGCCTCCAACATGAGTTTTAAGAGGTATGTCTTCTACTCAGTGCTTAAGAAGGTGGGCTGTAGAATCAGAATGACAGGCTCCAAACCCAGCTGTATCATTTATTAAGCAGATACTTTTGGGTTAGTTGGTTAACAACTTACAGCCTCAACTTCCTCATCTGTAAAATGGGGATTAGAATAATGATACCAATATAATATTGTTATGAAGGTAAATAAGCTGATATACATGCATACATTATATATATATAATACTTGACACAGTATGCACTCAATAAATGTTAGCTTTTGCTATTGTTATGTTATCATCATCATAAATATCACAGCTGCTTCTGGGAGTTCCTCTTCTAGAGTTCACAGCACATACTTGGCCTCCTCCAGCTCCTCTGTGCGCTGGATGGCATCCGTCTCGTATTTGGTTCTCCACTGGGCAACCTCACTGTTGGCCTTGGACAGCGCCCTCTGCAGCTCAGCTTTGCCTTCCTGCTCTTCCTCATACTGTTCCCGCAGCAGGTCGCAGTCATGGCGGGAGGACTGCAGGGCGTGTGCCAGGGCGTTCTTGGCCTGCAGAAGTAGCAGTTCAGTGACATAAATTCATGTATTCAGTGATATTTAACTTACACATCCCAAGTAGAGCCTAACTGGGCAGGTTTAGATTTGGTTAGTCAAAAAAATCCTTGGCAAAACTCACTTTAGTTTCTTCCTCTAGTTGATGTTTCAGCTCTTCAATCTGCTGAGTAGATGCTTGCTTGCTCCTTGAAAGCTGAGAGACTAAAGCATCTTTCTCATCTAATTGTCGAGAATATTCACCTAGGAATAATAGACATAAGGGAATTTTTTACTGGCATAAAAATAAGCCTAAACCTTTTACATTTATATATGTGTGTGTGTATATATATATGTATATATGTGTGTGTGTATATATATATATATATATATATACAAGTTGTATATACCTTACCTGAAATGCTTGGGACCAGAAGTGTTTCAGATTTCAGATTTTTGTTTGATTTTAGAATATTTGCATTACACTTGCCAGTTCAGCATCCCTAATCCGAAAATCTAAAATCTGAAATGCTGCAGTGAGCATTTCCTTTGGACATCATGTCAGCCCTCAGTTTTGAATTTTGGAGCATTTCAGATTTTTGATTTTCAGATTAGGGATACTCAACCTGTGTGTGTGTGTGTGTGTCTGTTTGTGTGTGATGTGTTTAATCTACACTTCATCTGCTTCTAAGTATTTTTTTAGCACTGGTTAGAACCGGAGATTTAAAAGCAGCATTGCCATAGAAGTGTTGTAAGTAAACTTGTCTGCTCAGTCTTGACTTCTTTCCTTTTTGACCTTCTTAGCAAACTCTGATCATTTGTTTATCTTTCTCTAAAGTGGGAATATTGCTATTTATTAGAACCCCTAGAATCCATTTTATTTAGTCCATGGTGTTGGGACCCAGAGAAGATGTCTTTACCCGCTTCTGTCTGCAGGCGCGCTCTCTGTGCTGTGAGGTCATTGATCAGCCGCTGCTGCTCCTCTTCCTTGGTCTTAAGCTCACTCACTTGATCTTCTAGAGAGCGGCACATCTTTTCAAGGTTTCCCTACAGGATATGTAGCAATGAAAGATGAGACATTGAATGCAATAAAAAGGTTAAAACTTGATTCTTAAAATATTTGTAGAGTAAATAAATTCATGTCAAGTGTGAGTAGAAAGTTAGGACATCAACTCTGTGGAACATGCAAGAATTTAGGCATGGCGAGTGCATAGTGTGCCTAAACTGGTCATTGTTGGAGACCATTTATTCCAATGATATTGACGCTTGCTTAAAGTGGATTTTGAAATCATCTTAATAGGCCGGGCGCGGTGGCTCATGCCTGTAATCCCAGCACTTTGGGAGGCCGAGGCGGGCGGATCATGAGGTTAGGAGATCGAGAGCATCCTGGCTAACACGGTGAAACCCCGTCTCTACTAAAAATACAAAAAATTAGCTAGGCGTGCTGGCGGGCGCCTGTAGTCCCAGCTACTGGGGAGGCTGAGGCAGGAGAGTGGCGTGAACCCGGGAGGCGGAGCTTGCAGTGAGCCGAGATTGCGCCACTGCACTTCAGCCTGGGCGACAGAGTGAGACTCCATCCCCCCGCTCCAAAAAAAAATCATCTTAATCGATCATAACCAGCATTTTAAAAAATACCATAGAATGGGATATATTTGGTTAGAAAATATTTGAGTAGTGCTGTAAAATGCCTGCAAACAATGTTTAGTGATAGAGAATAATGGGTGTTCTTACAGATGATTACCTTCATTTAGAGACAGTATTGGGTACCTTGGCTTTGGAAATGGCCTCTGCGTTACTGCTGAGGTCATCAGTCTCCATCTTCAGCTCACTCTTCTCCTTCTCCAGCTTCTGTTTGACCCGCTGCAAGTTGTCAATCTGCTCCCCAAGCTCAGCCATACTGTCTGCGTGCTTCTTCCGAAGAGCAGCCACCATAGCTTCATGCTGCAGGGTGGCCTCCTCCAGGTCCCTGCGCAGTTTCTGAAACTCAGCCTCCCGCTTCTTGTTCAATTCCACCTGAGCAGAAGTTGCCCCACCGGCTTCTTCCAGCCTCTCGCTGATCTCCTCCAGTTCCCGGGAGAGGTCAGAGCGCTGCTTCTCCGCTTTGGCTCGGGACGCCCTCTCTGCCTCGATTTCTTCCCCCAGCTCCTCAATGCGGGCCTGGGAATGAAAGAAGCACATAAACATAAACTCATCTCAACTTCAGTGTTTTTTTGGTGTGCAGAAAAAATAGAGGTGAGATGACTCACCTGCAACTCTTTGATCTTCTTCTGTAGTTGAATTTCTACAGCTTGCTCATCTTCAATTTTGCTTATCAAATTGCTGATTTCAAATTCTTTCCTTTAGACAGAAGAGCAAGACGTATTAATACTCATGTGAATTGAAAGATGATATCACATAGAAGTTTTTTTCTAAAAGGCTCCTACTTTTCAAGCTTTTCATCAAGTTGCTGTTTGTCATTTTCCATATCCATTGTGGATTCTTGGGCCAATTTGAGGTCACCCTCCAGTTTCCGCTTTGCTCTTTCTAGATCCATTCGAAGCTTCTTTTCTTGTTCCAGAGACCCTTCAAGCTAATAAGAAAGTAAATATGGTAAAAATTGAAAGTATATATTTTTAAAAAAATCTTTCAAAGGGATATTTAAAATGTGCTTACATCATCCACTTGCTGTTCTAGCTTGGTTTTAGCTTTGGTCAGGATGTTGACTTTGTCCTCCTCTGCCTGCAGGTCATCCAGGGTCTGCTGGTGGGTCTCTTGGAGAGCCTTCTTCTCCTTGGACAGTTTTGCAATGGTTTCATCCAGGCCTGCCATCTCTTCTGTAAGATTTTTCACCTACAAAGGTTAAGAAAGAGATTATTTCTCCTATAAAGCAATTTAGTTGGTGGCAGAACCTCTATACAGTATTGTAAAATATGACTGATACCTTGTTCTCCGTGGCATGTTTCTCCTTCTCAACCTTGGCCAGTGTCAGCTCAAGGTCATCAATGTCTTTCTTGAGTTCTGAACATTCATCCTCCAGTTTTCTCTTCTTGGCTGTCAGCTCAGCATTGATCTCTTCCTCCTCCTCAGCTCTTTCAGTCACCTCTTTGATTTTGGCCTCAAGTTGGATTTTGTTTTTAATCAGTTGCTCACACCTTTCCTCTGCATCAGCCAAGCTATCTGCTTCCTATGGAGAGATTCATTCAGATACTTAGAGTCTGTTACTTATTTTGAAACTTGGTGTTTTTTTTGCGCAAAAATAATAGTGTTTTATTGAATTCTGTTGAATTTTTCAGTATGAATATAAATTTAATTTAATCGAACATTATTACATGGTCTGGAGAAATGCAGCTTATTGGAAGTGAGACTATAGCTTTAGAAGCAAACTAGTTTGCAAAGTTATTGGATTGGAGCTATTGATTATTTAAAAAATAATTTGTAGAAGAGTGGAAAGACCTCTAAATCGGGCAAAAGGAAGCCTGGGTTCTTGTCCCAATATTGTTTGCATATGTATGACTTTGGGCAAATTGCTTTATTCCTTTCATTCTCAATTTTGTGTATATATATATATGGGTTGGAATAAATGATTGCCAAGAGCTTTTCAGCTGTAATATTTAAAGATTTTGATTTAGTTAAATTGGTTAGTTTTGGTTTTGATCATTCCCTGTCCCCCTCAAACCAATAATTGCTAGGCTGTATTGAAGAAAGAAAAAGAAGAAAAATAATTTAAATACATTTCCATGTAGTATTTTTTAATACACTAAAACCTTCCTGGTAGTTCATACAGTGCTATAATTGTTCAAAATTTACATTTCCATTTACAGAATTACCCATTAGTCTTAAGGTGAATTTTATTTTTTGGAACTTTTACCCCAACTTTTATTTTGAAAACTGTTAAACTTACCGAATAGCTGTATGAATAATACAATAAATTGCCATATACCATTTACCTAAATCCTCGTATTTTTAACATTTTACTGTTTTTTCTCTCTCTAAACACACACATAGACACATATATAGGCACATGTGCACGCACACACACACACACACTCTCCTAAATCATTTGAAAGTAAATGGCAGATATCATATTTTAGCATTTCTCTCCTAAGGACATGAACATTCTCCTATATAACTACAATACTGTTATTACAAATGAAAATATTAATCACTGATACAATAATATTATCTAATATACAGTCTATATTCAGATTTCCCCAGTGTAACAAAAATGTTCTTTAAGTTTTGTGGTTTCATTGTTTCATTTTTATACACAACATGGGCAATAGGCCTAAACTGCAACATAATTTTCAGAGAGTTGTACCATTGACTAGGCTAGAGGTTCTCATGCCCAGGACAATTCTAGTTAAGGAAAGATTGATGAACTGTTCTTAGCCCTTTCTGCTTTTGTGTTTTTGTTTGCTTTTGTTTTCCCATTCCCTTCTAAATCTGGTTAATGTGGAAAGTCTATGTTGAGCCCCTGAAATTTTGAAAATGTTCAAACCCATATGTCAAGTTAGGAAAAAAAAATAGAATGAACAGTGATATGTTATGAACCTAGATTTACCAGTTGCTAAGTTATGCCACATTTGCCTTGTCCATTCCATTTGTGGCCCTCTCCCCTCTCCCAATAATTATCAAAATGAATTTTAGAATATATGAGAAAATGTAATTCTCAGAAACTGTATAGCTCAATAAAGTTTTTATAAGTGACTAATGAAAGGATTCAAATAAAAATCAATCCAGTCTAATTTATTAGGTTACCTTGGCCTGGGGAATATTTTTTAACTCCCAGTGTTTGTTTTGTTCTTGAGTTTAAAAAACGTTTAAATGGAATATAATGGGAACTTATTGGGGGATTCTTTTCTTTTTTCTTTTTTTGAGCTTTACTGCTTAATATATTTATTTTTAATAGTGATACACTCAATACATATTTACTCACTGACTAATGATAACTGTGAAAAGATGGTAAGATAGAGAGGCTATGGTCCTGTGCTTTTGGAAAAATGTAACCTTCATATAAATGAAGGTATCAGAAGGAAAAATTGAAAGTTGCTGAAAAAAAGTGGGAAAACTATCCTTTTCACAGGTTAGTTTATGATATTGTTAGGTTTGCTGAACCAAGGAAATGGGAGGTTACCTTTGACCAAAGTGTTCATGCCAAACCTACTCCCCACCCCAACTGCCCCTCCTTCCTGCACCAATAAACAGACTCTAGGAACTAGAGATTTGTATCAGAGGAAGAATCAGGAGGACACATTGCTCTGCCTGACATGCTGGTAGTTCAGTTCCATTAAATACAGATAGATTTATTGAGCTAAATCTTGGGGGTTGGGGAAAGGAGATACAGAAATAAATAAGTTTGAATTTAAATACAATCTCATAGACTTGCATTTAGAAAATAGAGCTATACTTTTAATGCTGGGCTAAAGTAGCCCAGGCAAAGGGGTAAAATATTTGACTGAGACTTGGGGGATTGGCTTTAAGCTACTTCCTTCATGGCTGTTAAATTTTGTGATATTATTTAAACAAATTCTTCAATCTTTCCTTTTCCCATTGTAACTTGGAAATAATTGTGCCTTTTCTTCCCCATAGAATACTAAAAGATAAATGAGGTATTAAAAACAGCAACTTGAGATTTTTTTTCAAGTAGAGATCATTTGTAAATCCAAAGTATATGTGTGTTTCAAAAAAGCTTCAGTAACATGGTGCATTCAGAATATGGAGTACTCACAGATTGAACCTGGAGTTGCAGGTCATTTTTCTCTTTTAAGAGAGTGACCATTTTTTCCTCTAGCTCCTTCCGTTTTGCCTCTGACTTGGCGAGTTCATCTTTGGTTTTCTGGAATTCTTCCTTCATGGTGGCCATCTCTTTCTCGGTCTCTGCACTCTTGAGGAGGGGCTTAATCTTGAAAAAGAGTTTCATCCAGGGCCAGTGCTTGACGTTCATGAAGGCACGGACATTATACTGGATGCAGAAAAGTGCTTCTCTGCGATGACATGAAAATATCAGTGTAGACTAATCCATCAGAGCCAATGTTATTGTTACTTATCACACACAAATTTCCCTTTTAATGAATGCCGCTCACAAATAAATATGTCACATTCTCTATATATTATATGCAGGCTTTACACACACACACACACACACACACATGTACACACATTCTCGCGCTCACACTCATGGTCAGTAGCCCTCAGTATAACCACTTTGCTAATATGAGTACGGTTCATATTGAGCACATCTTCTGTGTTCTCAATCCCTATCAAACTAGCCAAGAGAGTGACTTTAGGGGTGAATATTTTGAATGTATGATCAGCACATACCATTTGACATATGACAGTATTAGTGATTTGAGGGTGGGCATGGTGATTGCATGTTGATTGTGCTGCCTGTCTGTGGGCATATGGATGAGAACTGTGAAATGACATAGGTTGCCTTCTGAATGGCCCACCTAAACTGAGCGAATGATTTGTCATCTCTTCCTTGAAGTTGCTCCTCTTATTTTGAACAACACTGAATTATCCACTCTATAAACTTTTTTTGCTAGCTTCTTCAGATAATACACTGGCTTATCTCAAATTCTTTCAAGTGCCTCAGTCTTAACTGATTAATTGGATTGTTAATATTTGCGAGGCATTCAGCATCTGTTGAGCTCTAAAATTTATTTTATTGAAATAAAGTGAAAAATAGTAATAAAAGGTACCCCTACTGCAAACTATAGCCATAGACTGGCTAGGTTTGACTACTTGTAGCAATGTGTATGTTTCTTCAAGCTTGTTAAAATGGAAATTCTATCTCTATAGGTCCAGTTTTTAAGACTTGTAACTCTATGAAAGCAGATACCTTGACACAAACCATAACGTTCACACATGGGAAAGACTCAGGAACACTTCCAGTGCAGGCCTAAATGATTACAGATAAGAAAAATGAATGCACAGTGTGTGTGTAAGTAGAGGGAATGCAATAGTGTTGGGTAGATAAACTGGGTGAGATTAGTTACAGAAAGGGGAAATTAAAGTTTTAAATTGGTAAATAGATAAATTAGGATGAGGGGAGAGATGAGATAAGAAGATAAGCAAATGAGAGATTAGTAGATAAGCAAATTGTTTAGCCTGGCTGGAAAAGGCTATGTGCTTGGAAATGATAGATGAGGTGGGGAATAGAGAGGGCCTTGACAGGCAAGCAAGCAACTAGCTTGATGAAAATACTGCTTACTGCAAACTATTCCTGTGGCTGTATGTGAGATGGCTGGAGGTAGGAGAGAAGTTTTGAAAGGAATCCAAGTGTGAGAGCTGAAGCAAAGGCTGCTGTGTTGTAGGAGTGAGTTCTGAATTGGGTGAGAGGAACTATTAGCCACCAAATGAAAGAATTAATGAATGAACAAGACTGATTGATAGTCCTTAAGGGACCTTATAATTCTGATATTCTGAATGATTGTTACCTCCTTTGCAACATCTTCTGATATTCTACCCTCATTAGGAATCCCCTACAGACAGCTTGTGTTCTTGTTATAATTTGGGCTAATTTTTCATCTCTCATTTCTTCCAGAAGACCCAGAAGTCCAGCTTTGAAGAAAACCTGGAGAAAGAGAGAGTCACAAATCATCTCCATACTGCAGGAGATGCAGAAATGGCAGAAGGTACTTGGATCAGGTGTAAATAAATAACGATATACCTTGGTATGTCCAAATTTATATTGAGTATGATCAATATCAATAGATGCAAGAAGTTTCTCAGAAGCCTTCTTGCTGTCAATGAACTGTCCCTCTGGAATAGCACTTGCATTTAAAACCTTGTATCTGCTCAGTTAAAGAAAGAAAGAATGGTTAGGAAAATGTGACCACATGCCAACAAAATGACACCAAAAAGAAATATCAACAAACATCTGAGAGTAGAAATAAAAGTGGAAAATCCAACTGCCGTTTAAGGACAGATAGTAAAACAATATGATTTTCTGTTGCATGCCTGCTTCCTGTTATCCTTCTAACCTGTTGTATTATCCTACCACCACAAGACTATATTATTCGACTTCTTAATTTTTTAATACATACTAATTCACAGTGTTAATGAAATACATCAAAGAAGACTGACCTTTGTTTGAAATCACCATATAAGATTCTGCTTGGGAATCCTTTCCTACAGATGCGGATGCCTTCCAGCACACCATTACACCTCAGCTGGTGCAACACAAGTTCATGTTCCATTGCCCCTAAAAATATAGAACAGTACTTATTAGTGGGCATTTAACTTTCAAACCTGTGCCCGTTTGATTATTTCACTCTCTGTGTCTTACCAGGAGTTTTGGTTTCATTGGGAATGATACACCGTACGAAGTGAGGGTGTGTGCTCCTCAGATTCGTCATCAATTTATTTAAATTTTCCTAGAAAACCAGACAGAAAGGACTTGATGAAAAAGTTCTATTTCAGGTTGTTTTTTGTAATTATATGGAATGAACCTAGACAGTCCTTTAACTACTAGGCATGCATCTGTGAGGCTTCAATTGCTCTGTATTTTGAGGGTCTCAAGAGTTCTAGCCTGCCAAATAACAAAAAGGCCAAAGTGGTTGGAAGGAATGCACATCTCCAAGGTATTCCTTTGTAACACCAGGGATCTGTCTCATAAACAAATTGCAATTCAGTAACCTTGTGATGTACAAGGAAGGGTTCTCAACCGAGAATCACAAGACAAAACATGATGGCTTTGCTATGCCACTAATGAACTGCCTGACTGTATAAAATCCATTTTTTCTCTGGGCATTATCTGAGAATAGTTGAGATTGTTTGTGAGGTCTCTTTCATCTCTCTCAGTGCTAATAATTTTCACAGTAGCAGTTTACAGTGGTAACCTAAGTTAGCAATTGTCCTAACTTTTGCCTTTCCTTCCTTGAGTGTAATATTTCCTGGGACCTCTTACCCTCTTGTTTTCTTTTGATTTTTGAAGAGTCTAAAATTGTGAAACTGGCCAGGCATGGTGGCTCACGCCTGTAATCCCAGCACCTTAGGAGGCCAAAGCGGGCGGATCATGAGGTCAGGAGTTCGAGACCAGCCTGGGCAACGTAGTGAAACCCCATCTCTACTAAAAATACAAAAATTAGCCAGGTCTGGTGACGGGTGCCTGTAATACCAGCTACTTGGGAGGCTGAGGCAGGAGAATTACCTGATACCAGGAGGCAGAGTTTGCAGTGAGCTGAGATTGTGTCACTGCACTACAGCCTGGGTGACAGAGCAAGACTCTGTCTCGAAAAAAAAATAAATAAATAAAATAAAATAAAATTATGAAACTATATAACCTTGGGTTGGTGGGTGTTGGGTACCTGAGACTAGATATACTCTTAAGAAGGCAGATTTTTTTTTTTTTTTTTGACAGAATCTCGCTCTGTTGCCCAGGCTGGAGTACAGTGGTGCAATCTCGGTCCACTGCAACCTCTACCTCCTGGGTGCAAGCGATTCTTCTGCCTCAGCCTCCCGAGTAGCTGGGACTATAGGCGTGCACCACTATGCCCGGCTAATTTTTATATTCTTAGTAAAGATGGGGTTTCACCATATTGGCCAGGCTGGTGTTGAATTCCTGACCTCGTGATCTGCCCGCCTCAGCCTCCCAAAGTGCTGGGATTACAGGTGTGAGCCACTGCGCCCGGCCAAGAAGGCAGATTTTTTTTCCCACAGCTCAGTTAACCATTAGGAAATGAAGAAAATAAGTAATGTGAGTTCCTAATTTTGAAAACATGTATGAAAACAAGTTGATAAAACAAAAGTCTATTTGGTAAGATAATGCAAATTGGTTGTGAGAAAGAAAAAGAACAAGAGTAGTTTTCTTGTTTAGATCATAGGTCGTATGTCGTGTCTGTATTTTAGTTTTATAAGGAATGAGACTTAGCCATACACATTTTGATTAAAAAGCCATTATTAGTCCATATATAAGAACAAGTTTTTAAGCTACATAGGAAAATCACATTACTTTGTAGTGAAATTATTATTCTTTAATCTCAAGAGATATTTCGTATCTTAATGATCCATTTAAGTCACTGGGCTTGGCTTTAGATGATTTTCAGCTGTAATGAAAAATTAAATTCACCTCAGAGGACAAAGATATGTTTTGGTGAAAGATGTTATGAAGAGTGTATCTGAGGCTCATTCTCAAAGAGGAACTCAGGAACATTTTCAAAGGGCAGCATTCAAAGCGGAATAAGAATATGACCTTCCACAGGGACAGCTTTGAAGTTTAGCTATACTTCTTTAGAAATCAGCCTCATTATATAATGAGAAAGTTTCTAAGGGCATTTTGGCAATCCTGAATACATTAGATAATCGTAATAAGGAATAATGGGTAAAGCATCCGTTCCTACAGGAGTAGTATTTCTTTGGCTATACTCTGACGAGAGCTGATATTTGAAGTGATTCCTATTAACATTTTATTGCCTCATAATTTTTTCTAAATCCTTAATTATGATAATTCATAGAAACTGAGTAGATATTTCAAATTAAATTTGTACTTTACCCTGAAAAGGGCAGACACAGTCTGGAAAGAAGAGCCCTTTTTCTTAGCACCTTTCTTCGCGCTGCTATCTGAGGTAAAAAGAAAACCCGTGAATAAGAATAGAATACCAGAGGCTTATATGAACATGTATTATAACATTATGTGAGAATGGATTTAATTTAGATTAAGGACACAGAAAGTACCTGCTTCAGCACTAGCATACGTGGAAAAGAGACTGGCTAGAGTCTTCATTGCAGACTTCTGGTACAGCCCAACCACAGTATCATTCAGGGGGTCCTTATTTTTGTCCAGCCAGCCAGTAATGTTGTAGTCCACAGTGCCAGCATAGTGAATCAGAGAGAAGTGGGCCTCAGCCTTGCCTTTGACCACCTTGGGCTTCTGGAAGTTGGCAGACTTGCCCAGGTGCTGGTCATACAGCTTGTTCTTGAAGGAGGTGTCCGTTGCCTTAGGGAACATGCACTCCTCTTCCAGGATGGAGAAGATGCCCAGTGGCTGAATTCAGAAAAGTAACATTGGTGTCAACCTAACTTCTCTCAAAAGATAGAGACATGGTGGCTGTCATTTGATTGAATTATGAGCACCCCAATTAAATATATGTATGAAATAAACCAGGGTCACAGCTCGAAGAAGTCCCTTGTTATCACTAGAATGACTTTTCCACTATTCTTCTCACATTCAATCTGTAGCATTACTTTCAATTAAAAGAATAGCTGGATACAAACTTCCTCAACACCGCATGTTAAAATGTTATGTATTATTATACTTTTTTCCTATTCAGTGAATAAATCTATTGTCAGAGTTTTTCTTCGTTATGAAAATAGCTTACTGACTTATGATGTTGACTCTATGCAGTAATTAAACAGTATAAACAACCAAATTTTATTCAAGATATTTTGGGTATTTAATTTCTTTAAAATAGATTATAGGCTGAGCACAGTGGCTCATGCCTGTAATCCCAACACTTTGGGAGGCCAAGACAGGAGGATCACTTGAACTCAGGAGTTCAAGACCAGCTTGGGGACCATGGCAAAACACCGTCTGTACAAAGAATACAAAAATTAGCTAAGCATAGTGGCACATGCCTGTGGTCCCAGCTACTCGGGAGGCTGAGGTGAGAGGATCGCTTGAGCCTTGGGGTTGAGGCTTCAGTGAGCTGTGATTGCACCACTGCACTTCAGCCTGGGCGACAGAGTGAGGCCCTGTCTCAATAAATAAATAAATAAATAAATAAAATAGATTATGAAGTAGCGTATGCAGTTTGACTTCTTGACTTTGAACAGATTGGCTTTCATGAAAGCACTAACTGTGTCATGTGTGCATTAATTTTTATATAGAAAAATATTTTTATTGTGGACATCATGGATCATAATGGAGATAGATCAAGAACTAATGAGGACAGTAGTTGTAGTAAAGCAGAACATCTCAAATAGAGTTTTCAGTGCTGTGTTAAAGTTGGATTTGATCCAGTGTCAGAATAAGAATGGTTAGAACAGAATAAAAGTAAACACTGTCAGATCTTTCTTATGTAGAAGTTAAAAAGAGGAAGTAATTTCTAAATAGTAATTTTCCAGTTTGTTCAGATCACAAACCATTTGAGATTACAGTAATACTTTCTAGAATTGCTTAAGATTTCTGGAAAGTGATCCTCACAGTCTGCCCTTCTTTGGAAACCAAACCGACCTTCTCAATGAGCTCAATGCAGGCAGCCAGGTCCATCCCAAAGTCAATGAACGTCCACTCGATGCCTTCCTTCTTGTACTCCTCCTGCTCTAGCACAAACATGTGGTGGTTGAAAAACTGTTGCAGTTTCTCGTTGGTGAAGTTGATGCACAGCTGCTCCAGGCTGTTAAACTACACAAAATAATAGAGATTTCCAACATCAAATGAGTTTTATAGTAGTAAAATTCATTACTGAAAAAATTCTTTTATTGAAAAAATGTGGAATGTAGTAATGAGATACAGTTAAAACTAACGTTGCTCCCTCAAAAAATGATCATTGGCCGGGCACGGTGGCTCACACCTGTAATCCCAGCACTTTGGGAGGCCGCGGTGGGTGGATCATGAGGTCAAGAGATTGAGACCATCCTGGCCAACATGGTGAAACTCTGTCTCTACTGAAAATACAAAAAATTATCTGGGTGTGGTGGCGTGCACCTGTAGTCCCAGCTACTCGGAAGGCTGAGGCAGGAAAATTGCTTGAACCCTGGAGGTGGAGGTTGCAGTGAGCTGAGATCGCGCCACTGCACACCAGCCTGGGTGGCTGGGCGAGACCCTGTCTCAGAAAAAAAAAAAAAAAATCATTATTCACGTGAGCCTTTCTCATGAATCCCAGGCATTGTTGAGGGTCCCAGATATCAATGTTAGAACAAGAATTCTGGTAGAATTTACCTTTTCTCCTCTAAGATTGCATGGGCAAGAATATACTTTAAAAGTTCAACCATGGTCCTGTGTTATGGTTTCGATTCAAAGGTAAAAGGGAAAGGAGTTGATTGGAAATTCTCACTTCTTTCACCACTCCCACTCTCCAATTCAAAATAAAGTTCACATTTTCACCTTTGGCTGTTACATTATTAAGGAAAGCTGATCTTAAGACCTTTAATATAAAGGTCTTGGTGTATAAAGTGAAATCATTAGGGTAATTTCTCTTCTATTTATATCAGACATTTAGCAAATCCCCCTCGTCAGGTGTGTGAAAGCAGGGACCTGATATAGTATAGCAGTTGAAGATCTAAAAGGTCTTTGTAATAATTTACTCCTTTATTTTATAGATGGTGAACTGATGCCCTGGAGGTAAAATAGTTTATGTAAGACAAATCTGGAAGAGGAGAGACAGACTATCATCTGTCTCTAGGCTTCTACCTTTGGGCCTTTTCTTCTCTATGAAGAAGCCTTGTGTATGGATCAAATGCTGTAGATCTGGGTTGCTGTCCTGGATTTGTCTTATGCACCTGTGGGATCTTTAGCTAGTGTTTTGATTTCCCTGCATCTTAGTTTCTTCTATATAAGTTGGGGGAATATTAGCTACTCCTTGGGTTGTTTTGAAGATTAAATATGGTAACGTTTTGAAGTCCCTAGTGTACACTGCTGGCCCAGTGAGCGTTAGCTATTATTAGTAGTACATTATGTTACCTCCTATTTTGGAGATAACCTTTGTTCTAGGTGCAGTGTTGGAGCAAGTAATATGGACGCTATAAATGTGGATGAATAATGATAATACCTAATATATCAAAGCCCACAATTGCCTCCTTCTTAATTCTTGTTAATATAACTCACATCAAAGATTTCAAAGCCAGCAATGTCCAAGACCCCGATGAAGTACTGCCTGGGCTGCTTGGTGTCCAGCTGCTGGTTGATGCGGGTGACCATCCACAGGAACATCTTCTCGTAGACGGCTTTGGCCAGAGCACCCACCGCATTGTACACCTTCACAGATAGAGTAATGTTTGTTGGTATTGTTAAAGACATGCCATGAAGGCCTGAGATGTGTGTGATTCATTGAGGTCATGCACTTACCTGCTGCACAGTCTGGCCTTTGGTGACATACTCATTGCCAACCTTGACCCTAGGGTAGCAGAGGGCTTTGAGTAGGTCTGCAGAGTTCAGACTCTGGAGATAGGCTGCCTTGTCAGCGACTGCAGAGACACAGTTCAGGACATGTTGTTTCATGAAGGATATCCTCTTTTACCTAATCTTTCCATTTTTCTCCAATTCAATCTATTATTTAAATAAAAAGCTTAAATAATTCTATAAAAGGCCAAATGAGGTTTTCTAACCTTAGAGCATGTGGTTGCCAGTAAATGGTTGATTGGTTATACTGATCTTTAGTGATTTATTTCAAGTAGTTTTTAAGAAATTTTTCATCAACTGTAAACATATGTAGTATTTATTGCCGTCTTGCAGTTTTTTGTAAGTAAAAGCCATAGTCCCTGTTTTTAAGACACATTAGGTGTAGTTGGAAGGATAAGATAAATATTCACTGTTAGAGAGGGTAAAAGTCAGAATATTTTGATTCTTATCTTAGTTTTTCACCTCCCTATTAAACCTTGCTGGATTAATTTCTTTATCTACAAATGTGGAGATTAAAATTTACTGCATGATCCCTACAGAATCCCTTTCTAAAATTCTGTCGGTGACTATAACGTAAATAAATGCCACATGTCAGGTACACCAGTAACTGCTGAAACATTTAGAGGAGGAAGAAAGAATGTCAATTCGAGGTGGTCAGGAAAGGCTTTAAGGAGCGATAACTGTCTTTCTGGGGTAGATCCTGTATATTGCGTGCTCTTTCCATACGTAGAATATATGATCTTTTTTCTCAATTCCTTTTTTTAACTCTTACTTGCTGCCTATATTGTCTATGGATTTATATACAGACAATACACACTTGCTTACAGATGACTCTAGGGGTATCTTTCTCCCCAGCCCTGTATTTGGGCAGATTCTCTGCTGTCAGTTCCTAGGGTCTTCCTATCTAGTGCTGAAATAGAGCAGTCTACAGTTATCTACATATACCCACCTTCGTTGCCAAGGCCAACCAGGAGCACTATTATATCTCATTCTATCTCATAGTTTGTGCTTATAAGTGGCTATTGGGGTTTGTTTGTGACTTATTTGGGCTGGATGGAAATGATGGAGACATGGAGATGTAAGGAAGAGAGGGGGTGAGGAAAGCATGCAGTGTGTGTAAATGTGTATATGCCCTTCACAAGTCGCAAGTCCAGCCACAAAGGAGATGTGAGTGTAAAATAGGATTTTTTTTTTTGCTACATTCTCTCATTAAACCCAGATAAAGTTTCATTTGGTACCTTCTGTGCCATCTGGCTCAGCTTGCTCCTCACGCTGCTTTTGCTTGAATTTCATGTTCCCATAATGCATCACAGCCCCTGTGAGTTTATAGATGGACACTTTCTCTTCAGGAGTGAAGCCCAGGATGTCAATGGCACTCTACCAGGAAAAATGAGAGGACAAAAGTTAGGGCTGAAGAGACTAACTTATAAGAGAATTTATACATATCCTAAGGTAACCACACCTACAGTAGTTTGCTATTGTCATTTCCATACATAATGGATTTTTAAAATTAGTGTTTTTGACTTACATCAGTGGCCATCAACTCTTCTTGGTCATCAATACTGGGAACTGTGATCTCCCCCTGACTGACGAAGGCATAGTCATATGGGTTGGTGGTGATCAGGAGCATTTCTGGGTCACAGAATTCAGGGCATACATTTTACATTAGACATTGTTAATAAAAATATTAACTTCTATCTATGACTTTAAGTTCTTTCTTACCAATTAGATCTGGCTTCTTATTGGAAGTGATCTGATAAAAAATATGGTAGCTTCTTTCCGCCTTTAGCTGGAAAGTAACTCTGGACTTTTCTAAAAGATCTGGAGAGGGAAATAGATATCGAGTTTGAAAAAAGTATCAATGCTTCTGAGATAGTAAATGAACCTCACGTCTTTGGTCAAATTTGGAGCATTACATTTGGCTCCAATGAGATTTCAACTTGATGACCAATTGCAGATAGACAGTGATTCTCACTGTCTAAGGGCAGCAACTGAAGCATACCTGCTCTAGGACAAATATATTTTTCACATGAAGGATCCATGACCTCTGTATTTTAGTTGATCCCTAATATCCCCTCCTTCTTTGGATCACCTAGGATTCACTCTGGGTGGTGAGGGCCTACCTTGGAAACATCTACCAAAACTCAGATCAGGAGCAAACCACAGAGATGTATTGGAAACCCATAAGTAGCCCAGTTTTTGTCCTGGAAAAAAATCATAGTTGCTTCTGAGGCAGGAATTTCTCTAGGATGTGTTACAGAATCATCAAGTCTGAGATTGAGATAAAGGGAGCACTCAGTGGATTATGGGTAAGCCTAGCATTAGCTTACAGGCAGTACTGGCAGCAGACTACCCTTTTAACAGGCTTCATGCACAGCAAGGGTGGCAAAATATCCCTGCAAATGAAATCACTTGTCTCTCTGTTTTGATTTTCAATGGTCCTGTTACTCACATGTTTCTATATCAGCAGATGCCAGCTTCCCTGTAGTACCAAAGTGGATTCTAATGAATTTACCCTTGAAAAGAATATTTAGTATTAGAAAACTGAAACACAAAGAGAGATGCAAATGAAATAATAATTCAGACGTGGCTACTCTGGAAGTTAGGGGTTGAGACCAAGAGACTCACAAAGCGAGAGGAGTTGTCATTCCTCACAGTTTTGGCATTGCCAAAGGCCTCCAGTAGGGGATTGGCGCTGATGATTTGATCTTCCAGAGTCCCCTGCAAAGGAAGGAGCAGTTCTCACATCTGGGACTCCAGATGTCTGAGAGCCTTGACAGAGGTTTTGACTCTGGCTATCAGACCTACCTGCATTTTGCCAGATTCATCCTTCTTCTTCTCTCCAGTAACTGCAATTGTTGCAAAGTATTGGATGACACGCTTGGTGTTCACAGTCTTTCCGGCACCAGATTCTCCGCTGTCAAACAGAAATCAGAGAAGAGATCAGAGAACTATGGCCTGCATTGTCAACATCTAAGACAATCCTTGCAAATCAGAGAAGAAAAAAAATCACATACGTGATCAGGATGGACTGATTCTCTCGATCTGTGAAAGAATTCAAAATCATCCGTTAAAAAATGCATATTTAATATGAAGAGTATTGAATCAGTTCAGATCAAACACAGCTTGTTCTTTTTAACTTTTTGAAGATGTCACCTTTGGTTTTGATTTTGTGTTTATCCTCCAAAATAGCCAATTGCTTCTCAGTGTAAAATTTGTGAAAATGAAAGCAAAGAATCATCTCTTCCTTTTTGTATTTATTAATTTTTAATTGCGATGAGATACACATAACATAAAATTTACCATCTTAACCATTTTTAAGTGTAGAGATCACTGGCAGTAAGTACATTCATAAAGTTGTAAAATCATCATCACCCTTCATCTCCGTAATTCTTTTCACCTTGTCAAACTGAAACTCTGTGTCCCTTAAACTCTTAACTCCCCATCTCCTACTCCTCCCATTCCCTGGCGCCCACCATTCTACTTTCTGCCTCTGTGAATTTGACTACTCTAGGTACCTCATGTAAGAGGAATCATAGAGTATTTGTCTTTTTTGTGACTGGCTTATTTCACTCAGCATGGTGTCCTCAAGGTTCATTCATATTTTAGCATATGTCAGAGTTTCCTTCCTTTTAAAGGCAGGATATCTTATTGCATGTATATACCACATTTTGCTTATCCATTCATCTGTTGATGGACACTTGGGTTGCTTCCATGTTTTTGCTATTGTAAATAATGCTGCTATTAACATAGTTGTACAAATGTCTCTTCCAGACCCTGCTTCCAGTTCTTTTGGGGATATACTCAGAAGTAGAATTGTGGGATCATACTGTAATTCTATTTCTAATTTGTTGAGGAACTACCATACTGTTTCCACAGTGGCTGATCATTTTACATGATCACTAACAGTGTACAAGAGTTCTAATTTCTCCAGTTCTTGTCAAAACTTGTTATTTTCTGATTTTTTGATAGTAAACATCCTAACGAGTGTAAGGTACATATTTGATTAATTTTTAAAACATTTATTATGGAAAATTCAAACATATACAGAAGTAGAGACAATAATATAATGAATCCCCATGTGCCCATCATACAGATGCAATGGTTATTAATATTTGGCCAATTTTATATCATCTATACCTCATCCCAATCTCACTGAATTATTTTAAAGAAAATCCCAGAATCTTATAATTGTATTTATAAATACTTCAATTAGAATTACAGAATTTTGAAGGCATAAAAGATCTTAGAAATTGCTTAGGCCAACTCTTACATTTAAGGGATAAAGAAACTGAGACCTGTAAAGGAGGAAGTGACTTTTCTAATATTAAGTACATAGCTAGTTAAGGTCAAATATATCCTCCTGGCCTCTTCCCAGCTTTTGATGTCACTAGTTTGACTTCTGGCAATACTAAATAAGGAAGGGGTCTGGAATTGTGAATATTTGTGTTCATCTGTTTTATTTTCCTTTTAATCTTATATGCATTTCTAAATAATAAAAACAAATGTCACTAATTATGTGACTGATATGTTGTATTTACATCAATTTGCTGATTTGTTAAATCTCTAATTCTATAGTGTTAGATTATAGATTTTAGAGAATTCTAAAACCTAAAAATCTATTCAGGGAAAATAGATATAAATCTGGATGTTATTTAGATGTAGATATAGACATAGACTTTAGAAAACTTTAGCCTTCTCTTCAGGGAAGTCGATGCAGATTTTGCATCCTATTCAGATAGATTTGTTTTCTAGTATAAGTAAAACCGTGGAAGATTATATCACATCTAGTGGAAGCACAGATGAGAAAACAATGTTCTGGTCTCTTGGCAATGCTAAAATAACACTCACCAGCTCAAAGGCTAGAGCTCTGTACCATTTTGTACAAAAATCATGTTTGGGAGCCATAAGTAACCTTGAATTTGGAGCAGCCCCAAACCCTGGGGAGCGGGGGGCTTGCTGAGTGGGAGGACAGGGGTGGTGTACATAGCTGTGTAAATGCAGCTGTTGAGTATTAAAACCTCTGAAATGAGCCAGCGTTTGGATAATTTCTGGGAGGTAGTTAGCTTCTGTTGACAATCAAAGAACAGTTTACTGGCATAGAATCCTTGTAGAATTGATGGCCAATTTGTAATGGGAGATTCCTATTTTATTCCTTCCTCTTTATTCTCCCCCTCGAAAAGACAATTTAAAAACAAGTGCAAAAAAACAAACCAAAAAGAAAGAAAAAACACCTTAGTTTCCAAAATTCCATGGAACAACAGGAAACTCAGGAATAGAAAGTATTTCCAAAGGCAGTGCATTTGGTGTGTGAAGATAAAAGGTTTTAATGCTGTATTTGGGCCTATAATGCGTATCAAAGCTGGTTGTTTATGCCTTGATAAGGCAGGAGTAACAGACTTTGATACAATTTAAACATTTTTCTCAGAAAAGATTTTTTCCTTTCATTGTAATAGGAAAGTGCTTCAAATCTTTGGGAGGAAAATCATAGCTTTCTTTACTCATGTTTTACCCTTAAAGGCTGGCAATATTAGCTGTGTCATTCAAAAATAAACATAAGAATTCACAAAGTTTTCCAGCTGTGGCTGATAACTCTTTTCGTTGACTGCTGTGAGCCTGGGTATTTTTAAAAAGTCTGTTTGAACACTTTTTTCTATCCAAATTGGAAAGTAACAAAATATGGAAAACAATAAATATGTTTACAGTGGTCTAGTAATTGTTTCAGCTAGGCTTCCACTTAACTATCTGTGTTAGCTTGGGAAGGACAGTGAATTCAGTGAGCTTCACTTTACTCATCTGTAAAATGGAGGTAGCTGCTGGGAAGAGCATAAGATGTCACAGCTGTGAAAGTTTTTTGAAAACAGTGAAGCCCCATGTGGCTAGAATGTATTATCATAACATAAAGAGGCTCGGAAGAGGTCTGTCTGTTCTGCAAAGATTCTATTTACACATTTCTGTAAATAGATGCCTCACTCACTCACCAGTCAACATGAACTGATAGGCATTGTCAGAGATGGAGAAGATGTGGGGCGGGGCCTCCTGGCGCTTTTTGCCTCTGTAGGCAGCCACCACCTCGGGCTTGTACACCGGCAGCCACTTGTAGGGGTTGACGGTGACACAGAAGAGGCCTGAGTAGGTCTGGGAAGATCAGAACATTTATCATTTGGATCTCGTTTTTACTCAGAGAGAGACATGAAATAAAAAGGTGTTTACAGACACTCACGTAGATCATCCAGGCTGCATAGCGCTCTTTGAGGTTGTACAGCACTCCAGGCTCGTGTAGATGAGTCATCATGGCCATGTCCTCAATTTTGTCATATTTCGGAGGGTTCATAGGGAAGACTTGGTCTTCCCTGACAGTTAGAGTCTGGTGAGTAAGCAAGAAACCAGTTCGTTTTTGTTTGTTTGTTTGAGATAGAGTTTTGCTTTTTTTGCCCAGGCTGGAGTGCAGTGGCGCGATCTCAGCTCACTGCAACCTCCGCCCTCCTGCTTCAAGTGATTGTCCTGCCTCAGCCTTCTGAGTAGCTGGGATTGCAAGTGCCCATCACCATGCCCAGCTAATTTTTGTATTTTTAGTAGAGACAGGATTTCGCCATGTTGGCCAGGCTGGTCTCGAACTCCTGATCTCAGGTGATCCACCTGCCTCAGCCTCCCAAAGTGCTGGGATTACAGGCGTGAGCCACTGCGCCTGGCTAAGACCAGTTCGTTTTAATGGTTGGAGGTAGGGTTTATGTTTGCCTGTATATTTTGGTACAAAACTATAATCACACATACTTCTCATTATATTATTTAATGTCCTCTTAAAAAAGGCATGAAATATATTCATTTCAGAGTTTAATGTTAAGAAAACCTGTTTCCTATGATGAGCTAGGACACTATCTTTTTAAAAGATTTTTTCCTCCCACATTCTCTTATCCCAGATTTATCAGTTTATATCCTTTTTTTCTTATTTTAGTAGGCTAAATTTTTATTTTTTTCTTTCATTCATTAAGAAACTTCATGTTTTTGGAAGTAATGGGGATATTAATACATTATTTAACTAAGTAAATATTTAACTTCTGATAGGAGGAGCTTGTTTTCATTTCCCTCAAGTTTGGACATTCAGACTAGGAAGTGGGGAATTGAAGGGAAATGGTGAAGGCCATACATAGTGGGGTGAGGTCCTGTGCGAAGTTGGGAAGGGAAGACATGAAGGTACTGCTGTGAATTTCTTTTGCCTTCCACATCTAATGTCTCAACACTGACTAGAAGGGTGTTTGCATTGGCAACAGGCTTGGAGATTCCCAGTAAGTTAGGCTTCAACTTTTGAACCAAGAAATAAAATGGGGAGTATTTTCTCCCTGTTTTCACTTACTGCTCCACCTTCAGTCTTTACGGTTACTTTCCCTCCTTCTTTGCTTTGTATAGTGCTCTTCACATAGGATTCCTTGGGCTCCGCCACAAAGACAGATGTTTTAGCATCAAACGGCTTGTTTTGGGCCTCAATCCGCTCCTTTTCTGATTTTCGAAGGTAGGGAGCAGCTTCGCCAAAAACAGCCATCTCAGCGTCTGAGCTCGCACTCATGGCTGCGATTTATTTAGCAAAGGATTCTGCCTAGGGAGGAGAGAAACGGGAGAGAGAGATATAAAAAGCAGAAGTCACAAATGTGAGTTAGGATTTGAAATGAAAGAAATGTTGAACATAGCCTGTGCTGTAACTATTCCTCCAAACTGGCACTCCCCAGTGTTCTAACATAGTCTAAAGGACAAGTATGGAGTGAGACTGTAATTTGAGATTTCATTTTTAGGACTGTGAATTTCCTTTTCAGATCACATATCTTGATCCTCAGGGATAGGGTACCTACAATTGAATTAGAATGAAACCTCTACAGCTAAAACTATTGATGGATTGTTTTATAGCAACTGTCATTATTTAATTTCCTCTCCTCTTTCTGCATAATGTTTGTCTATGCCATATGCCAGGACAATCATATGGTGAGAAAAGAAAGTTTGTCTTGTTCAAATGAAGGTTCATATTTTCAAAGCTATCAAAAAATCTTTGCCTTTTAAGATGGCCATTTTCTCTCATAAAGCAAATAATTATTTTTAACATCTTTATGTTGATATTTGGTGTTGTATCTCTCAGTGGATTGTTAGAAGAACATAATACATTCTAATACTCTGGATTTTTTGTAATTTGGGTTGTTCCCAACAGACTTAGCATTGCCTTGATTCCAAAATCTTTTTTGACATGAGAGATTTCAGCTGTCAGTTAACAGATCTAACCACAGAGGAATGAGAGCTTCAGCACAAAGGCCCTTCTTCCCACATAAATTCCATGGGTTTCTTTTCTTTCCACCCAGAAAACAGAGAAAAAAGTTTTAAGAGTACATCACATGCATGTAAGCCATTGTCTTCTGATTAATAGATAGGCCTCTGCAATGTGGACATGTTAGATTGGTTGAGTTTTTCCTTTATTTTCAATTAGAAAGTTACTTAGGGAAGGGCAGGATTCCTCTTAAATTAGTCATGGTATTTAACACCCGGTGGATGTAATACTTGCGACCTGTTAAGTAAATAATAATAAGTCTTTCTAACAACAAATAACAAATAATCAAAGGTAGCTAAAATATTTATATTTATATTTCTAGGTAAAAATCTTTCTGGAGTCTTTAAAAATGTCTATAAAATGTCCTAAGTCCTCAATGCTTTGCCATAGAAGAAGACTGGCATGGACTAGTCTATTGCCACTGGACAGTTCTAAGCACAGCTGAGAACTCACTGTTGAAGCTAATTCTGTCCTAAACGGTCTTTGAATCTTGGAACCCAAATGAGGATAGTCTCTGAGAAGAAGACATTTTGAAAAAGTTATTTTCTAGCATTTATAAACACTCACTCGGAAACACTCTTTCCTGATATAACTGCAAAAACATGGAAATGGTGTATAATTCAGGATTGTTCACAGCTTCATTAGACTATATCCCCTCTGTCATCAATAAATTAATAAAGCCAAGTCTTACCTCTGGAGTTCCAGATAAAAATGCAGGTTCAGAAGTGTTCCACTCTGTAAAACAACAAGCTTCTTATTAGTGATGCTCCGAAATTCCAATATTATAGTTACAGAATTGTTATTATAGTTACAGAATTGAAGTTTCCCTACCCCAAAGCTTGGTTCTATGAAGACAAAAGTTAAGATTGAGAGAGCAGTTTAATGCTCACAGATAACTACGAGGTCAGCTCTTTTCCCCACCTGGGGTTTTTCGAGTTCCAAGGCCTTCATCACTTACCTCTGGGTTCTTGGTGGAAATAAGGCACAAGGGGCAGTCCTGCTTATATAGGAACTAATGTGCTGATGCTGCAACTACCTCCTCTTTGTTAGGGCAAGACATTTGGCAACATGAACCCTCAGCATAGTTTGTAGTGACATTTGTCATGTTTGGATATAATTAGAAGTATTCATATCATTTTGTGTATGCAAACCAATCTCCTATAAATAATTTGACAGAGACCGATCTGCCAGCAGAGAATGCTTTCTAGTGTGCTGGGAAGGGAATCTTTGACAGTGCCTGATGGGGCCTCAGAGTAAGTTCTTAAGAGCTATATTCAATTTGGCAAACTCTTTCATGCACGCCTGTGGTAGCCAAATGATCAGATACCCGGGGCACACGGCTGTCAGGGCCTTAAGCACGTTTCCTTATTTGCTACCACGGGAACCCCCCACTGCATTCCCTTGGGCCACTACAGATGCTCACTCTTGAAGTCCAGGCTTAGACAGCAGAGATTCTACCTTGAGTCTCCACCATTGGGCCAGTGCCCACTCATCTAACTTTGAAAAACATTATTAGTAGAAAATAATATGTTTATTACAGAAAAAAATACAGGTAAGTAAAAAAAGTCTCTGTAATCTCTAATGCAGAAATAAGATAGAGGCGTATAAGTGGGATCATATTATAGATGCATATATAGTACATGTGTGCCTTGTAATATGCTTTAATAATTAATATATCATATCACTAATGTAATTTATACCCTATTCTTTAAATAAATTATGATTTTTTTTAATTAAACTCTTTCCTTTTTTTAAGGTCAGATATATTGAGGTATAATTTACATAGAGTCAAATTCACCCTTTTAAAGTGACAGTTTTATGAGGTTTTTTGCTTTTATTTTTAAAAATTTTTAAACTTTATAATAAAATTTACTTCTTTTGTTGTATGATTGTATGAGTTTTTATACACGTATTGATTCATGTAGCCACCACCACAGATAGGATGCAGAACAATTCCAGGCCTATGGGTTTGATAAATATATGCAGGTGTGTAACCTCTTACACTGTAATTACATAAAAATTAAAGCCTTAGAGATTAGGCTAAATTTTCCCTTTGATGAACACTCACAATGCTGGTATCTCCCTTTTCTCCCAAGGTAACTACGGATACCCGTTTAGTTTGTAATATTGCAGACCTTTTCTGTACATTTACATATGTATTTTCTGGGAAAATATAAATTAGTAAAACTGGTCTAAGGAAATTGGGCCATAGAAAATTTATAATATATAATATAGATGTTTAAAATATAGATAGTATGATTATTTATTTACAAACTTTCTTTTTTCATTCTACACTCTTGGATCATTTGCCATGTTAGTACATAAATAATAATATGAAAACATTTCAAACATATGCAAAAGTAGAGGGGATAGCATAATGAACCTAGTATATTCATCATCCAGCACTGATAATTATCAGTTCATGGTCAGTCTTGTTTCTTATATATTCTCACCATTCCCTCTATCACTGGATTATTTTGATATTACTCATTTTTAAATTTCTGTGTAAAATTCCGTAGGTTTAAGATTGTAATAATTTTGTTTATACAAGTTCTAAAAAGTTTCTCCTGATTTAATAATGATCTTTACTATGCGATCTCAATCTTCTAGAAGTTTTACATCTTTAGGTAGTCAGAGTTATAAAAAATTTTCTTTTATATTTTTGGTTTTTTGTGTGTATTGTATAAGAAAAACTTTCTCTAACTCAAGAACTCAGAGTCATACATATATTCTTCTGTATTTTCAAGCTAATGCTTATGAAATAGTGAGATGTGTAATCCTGTATTTTCAATCTGATGCTTAAAAAATAGTGAGATTTGTAATCCAGCTGTGTGTGTGTTCGTGTGCATGTAATCTGTTTCTGGATTCCATATTTTGTACCGTATTTCTATGCCAATAGCATAGGTTTTGATGACCAGTAGGGCCAATTTTCCCTAATTATTCAAAGTTGTCCTGTTAATTTTTACCTTCTACTATATGAGTTTTAGAATCATGTTCTTCAGGTTATGGAAAATTCTATTGGGATTTTGATTTTGATTAAATTGATTTAATAGATTAATTTGATAAGAGTTGATAGCTTTATAAAAGTGAGTCTTTCAGTTTATAAGGATGATATATTTTCCTGTTTATTCCAAGTCCTTTTCAAAAATACTTTTTAGTCATTTTTAAAAGTTTTTTCCATAATGATCTTATATTCCTTGTTCGGTGTATTCCTACAAATTTTAGAGTTTTCTGTTGATATGTTGAATAGGATTATTTTTTCTATTACACTTTCTACTTGGTTACTACTGGCACGTGGCAGACAAGTTTGCATAATCAGAGCTTCACTTTTGTTTGTGGCAGTAGTATGCCAAACTATATATTATTATATTCAGACTCTCAGCATAGGGTAACCATATGACACTGTTTTGGCTAATGAAATGCAAGCAGAAGTTGCTGGGTGGAGCTTCCAGAAAAGCTCTTTTCTAAAAGAGGGTAGACTTTGCTCATACTACCTTTTTCTTTCCTATCTCTATCTTTCTCCTACGTAGAACACAGATGTAATGGCTAGAACTATAGCCTTAAAAGAAAGGTCAAGAGATTTTTGGAGACCTTAGCCTTGACACCTGTGAGCTGAATTTCATTGTGTGAAGAAAAAAGTAAAGCACTAATTTTTTGAGGCATTGTTTACTCAGGTTTTTTTTGTTACATTCAAACACAATCCCTAACATACACGGCGTTTCAGAAAGTTACTGACTTTTCTGTGTTAACCGTTATCTGGCCCTCTTGCCGAACTCTCTTACCACCTCTAATAATTTATTTGATGCTCTTGGATTTTCAATGTGTCATGCGCAAATAATCACAATTTGTGTCTTCTTTCTCTTGTCATTTATATGTTATTTTTTTCCCTTCTCTTATTACATTGTCTATGACATTTAGGACAGTGTTGAATAGTATTAATATAGTATTAATACAGAGATACTTGTGTACATATCCTGTGCAAGATAAGGGCATCCTTATCTTGTTCTTGACTTTTATTGGATTGCATCTGATGTTTCACCAAACATAATATTTACTGTATACTTTGTATCTAGTTTGCTAATCATTTTGATCATAAAAATGAGTTAAATAGTTCTATTTCTAGGTATATGCCCGAGAGAATTGAAAACATGTTTATATAAAAACTTGTACATAAAGTTTATAGCAACATTATCTATAATAGCCAAAAAGTGGGAACAATCAGATGTCCATCGGGCAACAGGTAGATAAGCAAAATCCTGTTTATCCTATAATGGACTCTATTAATGCAATGAAATATTATTCAGCCATAAAAAGGAGTGAAGTTAGATGCTACTATATGGGTGAACCTAAAAATATTATGTTAAGTGAAAGAAGCCTGACACAAAGGGCCCATATTTGATGATTCTGTAGATCTAAAATGCCCAGAATAGGCAAATCCATAGAGAAAGAAAATACATTAGTGATTGCCAGAGGATGTGGAGAGAAGAGAATTGGGGAGTGACTGAAAATGGACATGGAGTTTCTTTTTGGGGTGATGAAAACATTCTGGAATTAATAGTGATGGTTGCATAACTTTGTGAATCTAATAAAAACCACTGAATTATACACTTTAAATTGTGAATTTTATGGTATGTAAATTATGTCTACAAATAATGGGTTGAATTTTACCAAATTTTTTATATCTGTTGAGATTACTGTTTTTCTCCCCTGACCTATCAATGGAGTGAATTATATGGTAGGTTTTTCTCACCTTTACCACCCTAGAATTCATGAAATAAAAGCTATTGATATAATATTGTTTAATTCTCTGCTGCTTTCAGTTTTCGAATTTTTTATTGGAATTTTAAAATCTGAGTTCATATATGACTAGGTCAAAGTTTTCTTGTGCTATCATTTTCTTGTTTTGATATTAGGATCATATTAGTCTTGTAAAATAAACTGAGCAGCTTCCCATTTGTTTGTGTTTTCTATAACATTGCGTTTGAGATGTGAATTATCTGTTCCATGATGGTTTGATAGAGTTCCTCCATGGAATTCTTTTGACCTCTAGCCTTTGTGGAATATAATTTTTTTACTCTTATTGAGTTTTTTTTATGATTATTGATTAGTCTTTGTAGAGTTTCTACTTGTCTTTTGGCCCATTTGGATGATTTATATTTTCCTATAAAATTACTTATTTTGTGTGAGTTTTTATATTTTTGGGTCTTTTTTGTGCATATCTCTATAATAAAAAATCTCAGTTTAGTAATCTGTTTCATTATTTATATTAATTTTGTTCTTCTTTTTATTTTAAATCATATTTGCCAAAGTTTTATCTTTTTCATTTAGTTTTACTGATAGCTTTTATTTTCTAGCTTATTATTTTCTTTTAGTTTTATCAATTGCTTTATTTCCTTAGATTTGTTTTGATTAATTATAATTAGTTTAAAATTTTGATTCTTGTTTCAACTCCCAAATTATTTAAAGCATTTTGTTTTTTAAACTTCCAGGTGTATGAATTTGGGTGTTGGGCAGGCGGATTTCATCTAGCCGTTAATTATTTTTATCTTTTGTGAGTGTGTGTGGTTGTGGTGTGTTCATATCCTAGTACGCCCAATGGGAATGAGGATTATGGTTCCTGTGATTGTGTTTGTGTGTGTGGATGTAAGTCATAAAACAATTCAAATAGTATCCAATACCCCACGAAACTCTCATGATCTTCTGTATTATAACTCATATTTTCCTTCCTTAAAAGGTTACTATGAATTTATTTTTATGATAATTATTTCTCTGCATTTCTTAATGTTTTAAAATTTGTATATGCATCCCTAGTTTAGTTTTGCTGGTTTTGAACTTCATGTGAATACAACTGAATTTATTTTTTAGTATCTTACTTCTTTTGCCCAAAATTATTGTTGTGAGATTTTTCCATGAAGTTGCATGTAACTGTGTTTTATATTCATTGTGTACAGTATTACCTTGTCTGATAATATGATTATTTATTCATTCTACTGCAGACAAATTTTTGGGTTGTTCCCAGTTTTTGGCTGTAGTTTATTGATTGATTGATTGCATGATGAACAGTGACTGTCACCTGTATGATATCTCATTTTAGAATTAGTTGACATTTCTTTTGTGGCTTTGTTCATAGATCAGGGTATTTTTTTTAAACATCTTTATTTAGGTAGAATTTTACATACCTTAAATGTCATCCATTTTAATTATACAGTTAATGAATTTTAGTAAACTTATAAAATTGTGCAGTCATCACCACAATCTAGTTTTAGAATACTTTTATCAATCCAAAAAGTTTCCTTTTGCTCATTTGCTGTTAATTCCCATTCAACCCCAAACCTTGGGGAACCACTGATGTGCTTTTTGTCTCTACAATTTTGCCTTCTTAAGAAATCGTATAGAAATGGAATCCTACAATAGGCAATTTTTCGTGTCTGGCTTCTTTCCCTTAGCATTTTCATTTCAACTCCCAAATTATTTTATTTTTTAAACTTCCAGGTGTAGAAAGTTGGTTGCTGGGGAGGCAGATTTTATCTAGCTATTAACTTTTTATCTTTTGTGAGTGTGTTTGGTTGTTGTGTGTTCGTATCCTAGAAGGAAATTCAATTTTTTGAATTTCATCTATATGCTGTTTTATGTGTCAGTAATTCATTTCTTTTTATGAATGTATATGTGGTAGTCCATTGTCTAGAGGTACCACATTTTGTTTATCCATTAACCAGTTGATGGACATTTGAATTCTTCCTAGCTTTTGGCTTTTATAAATAATGCTGTTATTAACATTCCACATAAGTTGTTGTTCAGACATTTGTTTTTATTGGTTTGTTTTCCAGGAATGGATGTTGGATATTATAAGAAATGGCCAGACTGGGAAATAGCAGACAAAAGATATTGCATCTATTCTGGTTGGAGAATTGCAGTAGTGGAGTTCTAAGTAAAAGAAAGCAAGTTTCCAGGAATAAAAAGCTTTTACCACCCAATGAATTAACAGGCCATCCTACTTGACATCAAAACACATCTTTAAAATATGGGATTAAAACAATATATAATTAATGTAGATAAGTATAAGAGTAGAACATAATATAGTCCAGAAATGGACTCTTGTATGTATAGCAAGTTAGTATAAGATAAAGGTGCATTTCTGATTCACTAGAGGAAGGGAAGAACAATTCAGTGAATTAAAATTGAGACTTAACAATTTGAAAAAAAATTAAATTACTTCCTTGGCTGACACCATTTATAAAAATAAGTTCTAGATGAATTAACATCTTAGGCATAAAAACAAAGAAGTATTGAAGAAATTATAGGAGAATATATTGATACTGTCGGAGTAGGGGGAGATCTTTAATAAGGCAAAAAGATCAGACATTTGACCACATCAAAATGTAAAACTTCTCAATGATTAAAAAAATCTACACAAACAAATTGAAAGACAAGTGGCAGGCTTGGACAAACTATTAGCAACTTAAATAAAGAAGTTATATTCAACACACACACACACACACACACACACACACACACACACACACACACACACACATCTCTTTCAAATAGAAAAGAAAGGGAGATACAAGCAAGTAGGAAAAAATAGCCAAAAGATAGAAATAGATAATTCATGGAAGAGGCAATACATATGGCTAATAAACATGAAAACATGCTCAATCTCAAGAGGTACAAAATAAAATAACAAAGAGCTAGTGTATTTTACCCATCAAGTTGGCAAAAAAAAAATAATAATGGTAGCAAATGGTGGTGCAGAGAGGTGAATGTAATATGTTGTGAGTAAAGGTGTAAATTTCCAGGGCAATTTGTTATATCTTTTGAAATTTAAAATTGCAGTGATTTCACTTCTCACTTTCTTTCCTGCAGAAGCACACTGAAATAGGAAGGATGCTCAAGAGTGTACATTTAACATTTCTTCTAATAGCAAAATTTTGGAAACAACTGTCAATTCAGTTACTTGTAAGTTAATTAAGTGGCCACCTGTTAAGTGGTGGTGCTCCGATGATGTGGTCAGTGGTTGAAACTTGAAACTCGCCTTAATCTAAGATTTGGATCAGCATAATGCATTTTCCACTGGTTCTCTTTGAGATATACTGAAAACTGAAAATCTTATTTAAAATAACAATAAACAATGAAGTAAAGAGTTTTTATAGGTAACATATATAAGAATACTAAACTGGGAGATATATTTTGCTAAAGCCTAATTATTGGTATATTTCAACCCTTCTGTAATGTACAGATATCTCTTCTACCATTCTTGTGTGACAACTCATTTATTTTAACTTAGAGTAAAGGCCCTTCCAAGGGTCTGGCTTACATCCCTTGTCCTTGCTCTTCTTCGCTAGTATCCACTTACAATTAAGCCGAGGGTGAACATTAAGTTACCGTATCCAATGACCCTTCTGCTCTAAGAGTCCTTGCCAGAAATTAGCTTACAATTCCTAAGATTTCCTCTGCCCTAAGAGTTCCTCTATTTTCTCTCTGCAGTGAGTAAAAGCAGATGAATTACAGCCACTTTAAGACATCTCTACCTTTTCTAAAACTCTGTAATTATATTCTCTTCAACCAAAGGAAACAACTGACCTTTCATATGACTCATGCCAAAGAGGAATGTTATTTAGATTCATCCACATTCTTGCATGTATCAGTAGTTCATTTCTTTTTATTGGGGAGTAGTACTCCGTTGTGAGGATGTACCATATTTTATTCATCTGTTCTCTTGCTGGTATATATTTTTTATCTTTTTATAGACATATCTTTCATTTCTTTCAGTTAAATAACAAGGAGTGGAATTGTTGGATCAAGAGGTAGGTGTCTAGTAACTGTACTGTTTTACATCCTCGCTAGTGATATATGAGCAATGTGGTTGCTCAGTGTCATTAGTCTTTATAAATTTAGCCATTCTTGTTGGTTTGTAGTGGAATCTCTTTGTGGTTTTAAAATGTATGTCCCTAGACAATGATATTGAGCAACTTTTAGTTTTGTTATTAAGCTTTCATATATTCTCTTGATGAAATGTCTGTGTTTTGCCCATTTTTGTTGGATTATTTTTAAAGAATATTGTTTTGTTTGTGTTCTTTATAAGTCATTTTTTCAGTATATGTATTGCATATATTTTTTTTAGTAGGTGGCTTGCCTTTTTGTGTTCTTAACAGTACTTTGATGAGCAGTAGCTTTAACTTTGAAGAGGACCAGTTTTATCATTTTTTCTTTCATATTTAGTGCTTGCTGTGTTCTGTTTAAGAAATTTTGCACGAGATTACAAAGATACTCTCCTATATTTTCTTCTAGGAGATGTATAATTTTAGTATTTACATTTAAATCTGTTGTCTACCTTGAATTAATTGTTGTGTATGCGTTATTATTTTTTTCCATACAGATGTCTAATTGATCCATCATCATTTGTTGCAGAGACTTTTCTTTCCACATTGAATTGCATTAGCAACTTAGTAAAAAGTCCACTATATACATATTGGATCTATTTCCAGACTCTCCATTCTACTCTATTCTGTTCCATTCAAGTATTCTTCTACCCTTACACTAATACCACACTATCTTAATTACTGTAGCTTTGTAATAAATTTTAAAGTCTGTAGAGTAAGTTCTCCAATTTTATACTACTTACTTTTTAAGACTTCTTTGGCTACTGTAGGTACTTTATATACTTATATGCATTTTAATATCAAACTGCCAACTTCTACCAAAAAAAAAAGCTTGATAGGATTTTGATTAGGGTTACACTAAAACTATAGATCAATTTGTGGAAAACTGACAGATTTACAATATTGAGACTTCAGTCCAAGAACATGGTGTCTCTCTCTCTCCTCTCTCTTTTAGTCCCATTTTTTGACAGAAAGTGTTCACTGTTTTATTATTAAGCAAGATATCTTAGCTGTGCTTTATTTGTAGGTGCCTCTTACTAGATTGAGAAAGTTTTCTTTTATTGCTTGTTTGCTGAGAGGTTTTTTTTTCATGGATGGGTGTTGGATATTGTCAAATGCTTTACTTCATCTGTTGAGATAGTTATATGATTTTCTTTTTTATTCTGTGAATGTTATGAATTACCTGATTTTTGAATATTAAACCTACCTTGCATTCCTGTGATAAATTCCATTTGGTCATGATTTATTATTATTATTGTTGTTGTTAATATTGTTTTCATATATAGTAGGCACTGCATAATGACATTTTGGTTGACAGCGGACTGCATGTATTATGGTGGTCCCATAAGATTATAATACTGTATTTTTCCTGTACCTTTTCTATATTTAGATATGTTTAGATACACAAATACCATTCTGCTACAGTTACCTACAGTATTCTGTACGGCAACATACTGTCCAGGTTTGTAGTCTAGGAGCAGTAGGCTATACCACATAGCCCAGGTGTGTAGTAGGCTATACTGTCTAGGTTTGTGTAAGTACACTCTGTGATATTTGTACAATGAGGAAATTGTCTAATGATGCATATTTCAGAACATATCCCCATTGGTAAGCAACACACGATTGTATTGTTAGACGTTGTTGGATTTGACTTGCCAAAATTTTGTTAAGGATTTTTGCATCTATTAGGGATATTGGACTATAATTTTCTATATTGTTTTTCTATTCTCGATTTCATTAATTTCTCCTCTAGCCTCTATTATGTCCTTTCTTCTACTTGCTTTAGATTTCATTTGTTTTTCCCACCTGCTGTGCCTTAGGTGGAAAATTAGGTTATTATTTGAGCTCTTTCTTCTCTCTTTATATAGACATTTACAACTGTAAAGTTCTGTCTAAGCACTGCTTTAGCTGCATCCCATATGTTTTTGTATATTGTATATTGTATCTTCATGTTCATTCATCTCAGAGTACTTTCTGGTTTCCCTTTCGATTTTTTCTTTGACACATGATTATTTAGGAGTGTGTTGTTTAATTTCCACAAATCTGTGATTGTCTCAATTTTTTTCCTAGTATTGATTTCTAATTTCATTCCATTGTGGTCAGAGAACATACTTTGTATCATGCCTATCCTTCTAAGTTTACTGAAGTTTGTTTTATAGCCTAGCATGTGGTCTGTCCTGGAGAATGTTACATTTGAACTTGAGAAGGATGTATATTCTGTTGTTACTGGGTGGTGTGTTCTATAGATATCTGTTAGGTCTATTTGGTTTATAGTGTTTTTCAAGTCTTCCTTTTTTTCTTATTGATCTTCATTAATTGTTACATCCATTATTGAAAGTGGGTTATTGACATCTTCAATCATTATTGTGGAATTGTCAGTTTCTCCCTTTATTTCTGTCAGTTTTTGATTCATATGTTTTGGTGCCTCTGCTATTAGGCGCAAATATATGTATAAGTATTATGTCTTCCTGATGGGCTTATCCTTTTATTATTTTTTCATTATAAAATGTTTCTCCTTATCTCTGGTAACTTTTTTTTAAGTCTGTTTTGTCTCCTATCAGTATAGCCATTCCATTTTATTATGGTTCCTGTTTGCAAGATAATGTATTTTTTCATCTTTTTACTTATATTTGTGGCTTCTGTAGACAGCACATAGTTTGACCATATATTTTTATACATTATGACAATCTCTGGCTTTTGATTGGACTGCTTAATTCACATTCACATTGATTCACATTTAGTGCTGTTATTGGTATAGTTGTAATTATTTCTTGTATGTCCCATGCCTTTTTTGTTCCACTTTTCTTTCTTACTGCTTCCTTTTGCATTGAAAATTTTCTAATGTAGCATTTTAACTTTTTAGTAATTCTTTCACTATATTTTTATTTTATTTTGAAATTTTTCTATAGAGATGGGTTCTCACTTTATTTCCTATGCTGGTCTTGAACTCCTGGCTTCCAGCAACCCTCCCGCATTGGCCTTCTAACATGCTGGGATTACAGGCATGAGCCACCATGCCCACTCCTTTCACTGTATTTTTTTAATAGATACCCTAGAGTTTACCATATACTGTAAACCTTAACTTATCAGAACCAGTTTCAGATTCATACTAGTTTTATTCTAGCGACATATAGAAAAGTTACTTCTACATAGCTCTACTCCATTTTTCCCCATTTTTGTCATATTACTGTTACCTGTAGCTTTTAATGTTACAAACCCAGCAGTACATTGTTAAAGTTATTATTTTACTATTTATAGTCATTTCCTTAGCCCAATACAGCTTTGTTCCCACACAACTCCTTTATGCTGTATTGGCAAGTATGTTACACATATATTACATTTCTTTATGTTACAGGCCCAACCATACAATGTATATGTATTATTTTATACAATTGCTTTTTAAGTCAGTTAAGAGAAGAAAGGAGAAAAAAATATGCATTTATACTGTCTTGTAATTACATACTTACATTTTCTGGTACTCCTTTTTTTGTGTGGATATGAATTCCTGTCTGGAGTTACTTGCCATCAGCTTGAAGAATTTCCTTTAGTATTTCTTATCAAGCAGGTTTGCTATCAGCAAATACTCTCAGTTTTTATCTGGGAAACTGTTTATTTCACCTTCACTTTTGAAAGATAGATTTGCTGGATATAAGATTTTTTGGTTGATGTGTGTGTGTGTGTGTGTGTGTGTGTGTGTGTGTGTGTGTGTGTGTCTTTGACCACTTTGAATATGTTATTTCTCCTGGCCTCTATTATTTTGGCTGAGAAGTCAGCTGTTAATCATACTGTTCTCTTACAAGTAATGAGTCATTTTTCTCTCACTGCTTTCAAGATTTTCTCCCTGTCTTTAATTTTCAGCATTTTTACTATGATGTATCTATAGATCTATTTGCATGTATCCTAGTTGGTGTTCATCGAGTTATCTGGATGTATAGATAATTGTTTTTCAATAAATTCAGGGAGTTTTCATCCGTTATACATTTGAATATTTTTTCTGCTCCTTTCTCTTTGTCCTCTCCTTCTGGTATTCTCACTGTGTATATATCGGTGTACTTCATTGTGTCCTACATTTCTTTGAGGCTCTTTCATTTTTTATTATTCTTTTTTCCCTCACTGTTCTTTGGCTTTCATAAGCTTTATCAATCTCTCTTCAAATTCACTTATTCTTTCTTCTGCCAGTTCAAATTTCCTGTTGAGCTCCTCTAGTGAATTTTAAAATTTCATTTATTATACTTTCAACTCGACAATTCTGTTTTTTTTAAAGTAATTTCTACGTTTTTATTGATAGACATTATTTGATCTGACATTGTCATTATGCCTTCCTTTACATCTTTCATCATATTCTCTTTATTTTTGTGAAAATGTTTATGATAACTAGTTTGATATCTTTTTCTGTTAAATTCAACATTGATTGCTGTCACAAGCAGTTTCTGTTGCCTGCTTTTTTCAGCGTATGGATTATGCTCTCTTATTTCTTTGCAGGTATCATAATTTTTTGTTGGAAACTGGACATTTTAGATAATGTATTATAGCAACCTTGGGTAGTGTTGCCCTCTCCAGGGATCGTCAGTTTTATTTTCTTACTTATTTGTTATTAAACAATTTCTTTATTACCTTTATTATTTTTAAAAATTTTATTTTTAAAATTAGTGCATAATATTTTTACATATTTATGGAGTACATGTGATATTTTGATACACGAATACACTGTGTGATGATCCAGTCAAGGTATTTGGGATATCCATCACCTCAAATATTTATCATTTCTTTGCATTAGGAACATTTCCATTTTTTTATTCTAGCTATTTTGAAATATACAGTATACTGTTGTTAATTAGAGTCAGCCTCCTTTGTTATCAAACACTGGAACTTATTCTTGTCAGCACAAGAATATTTGTTTTTAACTGGCTGGTTTATTTTAGTGAAGTTTGTTTCCCACCCACAGTTTAAAGCTTCTGATATTGCTCCTCAGGGAGGTGCAGCTTTGGTATGCCCACAGCCACCCTGTGATGACAGTGGTTTTGAGAGGGCTCTCTTCCTCTCTTTCTCTGACCACACCCAGATGTCAAACTCCACTACTTGGTGGCCGATAGCTTTATTGATTTTAATAATTCCTTTGGGCATAAATTGTTCTATGAACTAATCCAATCAAATTCTGCCTCCTTTGAAAACATAATTTCTGAGGTCAGTGTTTAATATTTGTTTTGATCCCAGGGGGACTTCTCCCAGCTATCTTATTACCTGGTTCTCTCCTAAAAACTAGCTGGCATACAGTTTAGCCTATATCTTTAATTGCATGGCAATTTGTTTTTACCACAATGTGCCCTGTTGTTGAAAGTGCACTTGGGTTTTAATTTCTCTGCCTTCTGTTGCAAATGAAATCAGTTCCTTTGGGCAAAGATTAGGAGCTCTGTTTTATGACTCACTTCTCCCCTCAGGCAAAATCCGAGCCAGGGCTTTGGAGCTGGTGGTGGAGACAATTTTAATCTTCTGATTGACACCTCCATTCTGGGAACTGAGCACTTGGTGGGGATGAGCAGCAGCCTAAGGCCCGCTTGGCTTGTCTCTCCTGGTGTGGAACCTCCACCTCATAAGTCAGGTCAAGGGTGATCAGGGCCCCAATATTCTCAGCACCCGGGGTAGAGCTTCTGTTCCCTGAGTGGTAGCTGGGCAGAAAAGAGAGCCTAAGCCTTTCAATCACATTTGCTCGGGTCTTAGCCTCAGAAACGGGTAGCTGGAGGTAGATGAAAAATATTAATGTCTTGTGCTTTTTAGAAAGAAAGCCCTCTGACTGGGAGCTCGAGGGAAAGGAAATCCTGTGGTTGGCTGTAGCAATCTGGAGTGGAGTCCCACCTCTCTGTGCTGGGATGGTAAGAGGCAGGAAGTGATTTTGGTTCAATACCACAGAACCTTTCCTTTCTTACTGAATTTGCATGGATTTTCTTGATAGATGTTTTTTCCTTTTCTGTTTCTTTAGAACCATTTACAGAGACTTTAAATGTTGTTTTGTTTAAGATAATTTTCACCTATTTCACTGGGAAGAGGATCGGTGGAGCTCCTCATGCTGTCATGCTGGAAGTCAATCCTCCTTATAGCACGTGTGTGTATGTGTGTGTGTGTTTCTTTGTATGTCATTTTTAGTAGTTTGCTTTAGGTATTACATTATGTGTGTCTCATCACTGTCTTCTGTTGTCATGTTATCAGTTCAAGTGAAACATAGAAATTTTACCTCCCTGGAAGTCCTTTTACCCTCCCAGTTTGTAATTGTCTTAAATATTTCCTCTGTATACTTTTAGAACCACACCAGAAGGTGATATAATTTTTGTTTCAATCATCAGACATAATTTAGGAAACTCAAGAACAAAAAACCTTTTATACCTACTTTTATTTTTGCTTATATATTTTTTTCCTCTTTGATGTTCTAGGGTTTCTTTATTCACTTTTTTCCTTTCTGCTTAGAGACTTTCCTTTAGCCATTCTTTTAGGGTAGGTCTGCTGGTGACAATTCTCATAGTCTTGATCTAAGACTTAGGTTTAAGACTTAAAATAGTCTTAATCTAAGAATGTCTTGATCTCCCTTTCATTCCTGGAGCTTATTTTTTCTGGACATAAGATTCTGGGTTGACTTTTTTTTTCAGCTACTGAAAAATATTGTACCATTTATTTCTGTCCTTCATGATTTCTGATGAGAAATCCCCTGTCATCTAAACTGTTTTTCTCCTATAGGCAAGATGTCATTTTTCTCTGGCTGCTTCTAAGATTTTGCTTTACTTTTAGTATTTAGAAGTTAATGATATGCCTGGGTGTCGATTTCTTTGAGTTTATCTTGTGTAGATAAACTCCTTCTTGAATCTGTAGGTTTATGTTTCCTAGCAAATTTGTAAGTTTTCAGCCATTATTTCTTTAAGTACTTTTCAGCCCCACCCTCTTCTTCTAGCACTTTAATGAGTGTTAGATCATTTGTTTTAAGGTTCTGTCTACTATTTTTTTCATCTACTGCTTTCAGTTGTTCAGGTTGGATTATTTCGATTATTCTTATTCCAACTCACTGATTTCTCTGTCCTCTTCTTTTTCCTGTTGAGCCCACCCACTGAGCTTTTTAATTCAGTTATTGTATTTTTCTGTTCTAAAATTTCCACTTTTTTAAACGTCTTCTTTTTATTTGCTGAGGCTTTCTGTTTTTCCATTTGTTTCAAGCATGTTCATAGTTGCTCTTTGAAGCACTTTTGTTATGTCTGTTTTAAAATCTTTGTCAGATAATTTAACATCTCTATCATCTTGGTTTTGGCTTTTTTAACTCATTTATCTTCTTTTCATTCAGTGTGAGATTTTCTTGGCATAATGAGTGATTTTCAGTTGAAACTTGGGCATTTTTGTACTGTTCTTGGAATCTGGATCTTATTTAAACCCTTTAATTGGCTTTCTATTACACTTCTCTAATAAGGGAAGTGATATGGTTTGCTGTGTCCCCACTCAAATCTCACTTTGAATTGTAATAATCCCCACATGTCAAGGTCAGGGCCAGGTGGAGATAATTGAATCATGGGGTTGGTTTCCCCCATACTGTTCTTGTGGTAGTGAATAAGTCTCATGAGATCTGATGGTTTTTATAAATGGGAGTTGCTCTGCACAAACTGTCTTGCCTGCTGCCATGTAAGACATGACTTTGCTCCTCATTTGCCTTCTGCCATGATTGTGAGGCCTCCCCAGCCACGTGGAACTGTGAGTCAGTTAAACCTCTTTCCTTTATGAATTATCCAGTCTTGGGTATGCCTTTATCAGCAATGTGAGAACAGACTAATACAGGAAGCAGGGCTGGTGATGCTACCTTACTGCTTCCAGATAGAGTTGAAAGTCCAGTTTCCCTTCTGTTAGCACTTGAATGGGGAGTATCTTTTCATTACTGTTGCATGGGGGTAAGCTCATTACTACTGAGCAACAGTGAAAGTGCTGACTTTCCTCTAGGCCTCCTCTGATGGTGGGAAGGACAAGGGGTGCCTTGTTACTCCCAGTGCATGGGAGTCAAAGATCCCAATGTTGTCACTACTGATATAGAGTAGGAGGGCATTACTGACCAGCAGGGATGAAAATCCCATTTTCCTGCTTGGTTGGCATCATCATCCTCTAGTGCAGGTGTTGGGCATCTTATTATAGCCTCCTAAAGGCAGAAGTATAGGCTTTCCACTCATCTTTTGCTGGGGGTGGGGAGGGGTCACAGTCTTATTCTCTTTTCTTTGATTCCACTAGAGAAGCTATTGTCTAAAAAGCTATTGTCTAAGTTTTCTGTCTTGCTAGGCTGCCTGTTTCTTTGTCCTCTGGCTAAAGAGAAAGGCCTTTGTTGGGCTTTAAAAATCTTCATCCACTTGGGTTTCTCTATTGTCTGCTTCTTCAGTTCCAAGTCTGGGGCATATAAGTCAAAAAGAAAACTCAGGGAATTTATGTCATTCTTTGGGTCCTAAGGTCCTGTATTAGTTCATCCTCATGCTGCTAATAAAGACATATCAGAGACTGGGTAATTTATAAAGGAAAGAGGTTTAATTGACTCACAGTTCTGCAGGATTAGGGCTTGCACCCTCTGAAGCAACATCCTTAGCTGTACTTTGGCTCCTTTTAGCCATGGCTGGAGTGACTGGCGCACTGGGCACTAAGTTCCAAGGCTGCACACAGCAGGGCCCTGGACCCAGTCCAGGAAACCATTTTTCCCTCAGGAAACTTACAATTGTGGCAGAAGGGGAAGCAAACATGTCCTTCTTCACATGGTGACAGCAGGGATAAGTGCTAAGCAAAAGGAGGAAAACCCCTCAGAAAACCATCAGATCTCATGAGAACCCACTCACTATCACAAGAACAGCAGCATGGGAGTAACCACCCCCATGATTCAATTACCTCTCTCCCATGGCACGTGGGGATTATGGGAACTACAATTCAATATGAGATTTGGGTGGGGACACAGCCAAACCATATCAGGTCCCTGGCTTTTCCATCTTTTCTCCATCTTCCAGAATCTCTTATGTAAGTTTTATGTATAATGCCCAGGGTTTTTTTGTTGTACTTAATGAGAGGAATAGGGAAAAGTACAAATACTCTATCTTCCTAGAAGTGGAAGATTCCTTGTAGATTTTTTTTGTAGTTCCATCAATTACTGAGGAAAAGGTGTTAAAATATACACTGCTTTAGGATTTACTTATGGATCGTATGTGTAAGATACCTAGCACTGTGCATGGCACAGGTTAAGTTCTTATTATTCATTCACCCAACAGATATTTCTTGAGCAACCATTACATGTCAGGCAATGTTCATCAGATATTCAACAGTGAGCATAACAAAGTCCCTGCCCTTATGGAACTTATATTTTAGCAGAAGGAGACAGATATTAAACAAATAAATTACTAGTTAAGTGGTGCCATGGACAGATATGAAACAAATCAAGGAGATAAGAAGCATAACTGGCAGGGTAGGGAGAAATGGTTGTTTTTTTATACTGGGTGGCCAGGGAAGGTCTCTCTAATAAGGTGTAATTTGACCAGAATCCTAAAGACATTAAGGAGCAAGCCACATGGATATCTGGGTGAAGAGCCTCTGCTTTGGTGAAATGACAGATTACTGACCTTATTTGTAAGGGAAGAATGTCATCAGAACCTTTTGCTTGTCAGGGTATGGTGGAACTCAGAACAGTGTATTGTTTCCAGAAGGAAGAATTAGATGATCATGCCCTAGGTCTGGCTTTCGCATCTATTAGTCATACAACTTTTGACAAAGCACAATCTTCTTTGTACCTCATTTTCCAAAGGATTCTGTTATCTCACATGGTTGTGAGAATTCAGTGACTGACAAATTGCACATGAAAAAGCATTTTACAAATGAAGCAAAGGGTTCTATAGATATAAGATATTATGATTGCATCATTATTACTGCCAGTGCTATCTAACTTGGAATCAAAAACATTTAGATTAGATTTTAGAGATTATTTTTAGCTCAACCTCCTAATTTCATGGCTAAAGAAACAAGCCCAGAGGAGCTGCAGCCTAATTTATAGATGTAAATGTGGGGCTATAGAATACAGCATCTGATTTCTTTGTGAAAAAAAATGGTAATATAAAGCTGTGGTTTTCAGAATGTGGTCCCTGCATCAGCATGACGTAGGGAATTGTTAGAAATACATACACATTCTTTGGCTCCAGTCTATACCTACTGAGTCAGAAATTCTGGAGATGGGGCCCAGCAGTCTGTGTTTTAACAAGCCCTCCAGATGATTCTGGTGCTTGCTAAATTTAAGAACCATTGATTAATAGGGAGGTTCACAAACCCCTTCACTCATAAAGAATGACACTGGAGAATTTAATGCCCAGGGTGAGCCTTCAGCAAAATTGTGATTAAATGGCCTTTGTAGGGGCATTTAAAAATCTTCCCTCTTTTCCTGCTTCAGGGTTACCTTTTCTTCAGGCACATCTCAAGGAACCTCTTTCCTTAGATGCTTTCTTAGTTGTTTGGCCAATAACTCTAGTCAGGGTGTTAGTTGAAATTACTACATCTTCAGATTAATAAGAGAGTAAATAAAATGACCATCCTTTAGGGTCCCAAGAATTCAGATTCTAATAGATTTGGATATAAGACACATAGAAGAGGTAATGCTCTGGAGTAGAAGGATCCTGAGATTTCTCCTATTCTTAACACCTGTTTGGTTATTTGAACACTTATGAATGGAGTGGAAAGAAGATTTATGATATTTCCAGTATCAGTCACAGAATTTGCTTCTAGTAACCATGGTTTTTAAGTTCTCAGAACATAGAGAAAAAAAGGGATTGGCCTTATTACAGATTCTTTTTTTTTTTTTTTTTTTTTTTTTTTTGAGACGATGTCTTACTCTGTTGCCCAGGCTGGAGTGCAGTGGCGCGATCTCGGCTCACAGCAAGCTCCACCTCCCGGGTTCACGCCATTCTCCTGCCTTAGCCTCCGGGAGTAGCTGGGACTACAGGCGCCTGCCACCACGCCCGGCTAATTTTTTTGTATTTTTAGTAGAGACAGGGTTTCACCGTGTTCGCCAGGATGGTCTGGATCTCCTGACCTCGTGATCCACCCGCCTCGGCCTCCAAAAGTGCTGGGATTACAGGCGTGAGCCACCACGCCCGGCCAAGATTTTTAGGTTTTATTAGCGTCATGATGCTTGACTTACCAAAAACACTAGGGTGTGGTCATCTTTGCCTAGTTCTCTGTGTGTACACTTTAAATAGTTTTATCTGTAAGTTAGAGAAGAAGTCCCTTGCTTTTTTTTAACATTTCAAAGTCTTTTTCCAGTCTCGTTTTCTTTCTGTCACACTAAGTGTTAGTGTTACAATCAGGTAGGAATTGAACTTAAACTACCTCTATTTGTCCTAATTCAGACTTGTGTGTTCTTGGAGACAGCCTCTGCCTTCTCCTTGCATGCATCCTGTTTAGGTTCTCAGATCCAGCAGCACTAGATTAGAAACAGTCACCAAATCTCACTAATACCTCGTATCAATTAAAGGAAAGTTGAAGAGTGCTATAAGCTGTCCTAGATTATTATGTGTGGCTTTATTTTAGTAGATAAGGAAATACGTCTATAAATCAGCTAGTCTGTGAGGAAGATGAGGAAGAATATTGACCAGAATAACTGTGACTCTATATGCTTGCTCCTTTAATCAGGAAACCCGTAATAATTGACCCATATGTAATAGAATACACTCTTGACTCTCTACATAAGCAATTATTTAAGTTAGGAGTCAGAATAATAAAGCAATTGCCCAGTGCTTTTGAGGTCAGTAGATTAACTCTACAGAGCTTAATTAAAAAGCGATAATAAATGCTTGCTCTAGGGAGGATATTTCATTAGTCTTCATCATGGCCTGGGTGAAGTATTCCTGATAATTATTTTCTAGCCCTTTAAAATTCTCCTCTTACGAAGCAAACTTCTCACTACTAGTTAGGATTCCCACATTGGGGAAGGAGATTTCCCAAAGCAGCTCCTCCATTAGAAAAGACTAAGTTTGAAAAGACAGCACCACTATAAAGAATAAATTGGTATTCTCTTATTTTTGGAAGAAGCAAAATTTTAAACTAAGAAAATATCAAAGAAAAGAACACTATGGCAATGGCTATGATAAAATTTTGGAAATACTGTTTTTGAAATTAAGAATTAGATTTCCTTTATGGTTCCTCCTTAAAATATGCAAGATACTGAGAAAAGTCAGGCTCCTTTTCTGGAGCAAAAATGGACAGAACTTTTTGGATAAATCTTTCTGTTGACCTTCTAATTCTACATACCGTTAGATTTTTGGATAAATCTTTCTGTTGACCTTACAGTAAACAGAACTTCATCTTCATCATGGCCTAGGTGAAGTATTCCTCATAAGTAAGCAGAACTGTATGTAGAATTAGAAGGTCAACAGAAAGATTTATCTAAAAAGTTCTGTTTTTCTTGTAGAAGGAGAAAGTTCAGAGGAAAATAACTTCTTCCAAAAGGAAATGAAATCTGTAACCACAAAGTAACTGGGATGTTTGAATGCTGTGAAACTGTTTAACTTCTTCCATTCTTTCAAGCCCTTTTCTTTATACTGTGTTAGAACTGTGCTTTCCTTCTGCATTCTTGTTTATTTCCATCACCATCATCTCTAATTTTGACCATTTTAATAGCCTCCTAAACAGTCTTTGAAGGCTTTGATCTTTCCCACCTTACTCATTCCTCCATACTGCTGCCATAATTGTGTCAATTCTCCTCTTCAAGAAATTGGACCAATTTGATGTGTGTCCTTGTTCCTTAGCACTACATATGAGGACATACCCTTCACAATCAGGCCTTATCTTCCATATCTGGCCTCATCTGCTCCCCTTTGCTCATGAAGCCTGTGCTAAAACTATGCTGAAATCTCATGCTTGTTTTCTTTTCTTAGAATGATCATAATTTTTTTTCTCTTTCACCTGATAACTGTCTGGTCCTCTTTTAGGAATCAGCTCATAGTCTCCTTTGAGAAGCCTTTCTGGATTTCCAAAGTTAGCAGCTCACTCTATGTTATTGCCACATTTGTTTTTCACACTCATGTCAGAGTATGTATGTTGCACATACATACAGCGTATATCTTTTTGAACTGCCGTCTTCCACACTGGATTGAACTTCTCAAAGACAGGGATAACTGTCACATCTTTCGTGTCCATTTCTGTACCAGACATATAGTTGATACTCAGTAAAATTGGTTGAATGGAATTGAGAGTGCGTTTGTCACCTTCATGTCTTCTCAGAGCACCTTATTTCATTTACCTTCCATTAAAGTTGGGTTCACTGCCTACATTCATTTTTGTTATTATCTCTGATTGCACATATTAGGAACTCCACAAATGTTGAATAAAGGAATTAGTTCTAATAGCACTAAAGAGCTTATAATTAAGAGACAAATGTATTTTTAGATGCAAAATTATCTAAAGATTTTATTTCCTTGATATACAGGACAGTGACAAAGAACTTCACATTTCGTGCATTTCTTTGGTCACATTTTCTTTCATTAGAATGAATTACTCTTCACTTATGACTTTTGTGTGAACCTCCCGACTCTTCACTCTCAGCTTGTTGACTTGGGACTCAGCAATGTCAGCCCGTTCCTTGGCCTCCTCCAGCTCGTGCTGGAGCTTGCGGAACTTGGCAAGGTTGACATTGGATTGTTCCTCCTGAGAACAGAGATGCATTTGAGATAACAAGAAAATTGGACATTTCCTGATTGTTATTGCTTTTGTTACTTCAGGATTTGCCTCATGAATGAGAAAGAAAAAGGCTCCGTTGTCCAGGCATGGTGGCTCACACCTGTAATCCCAGCACTCTGGGAGACTGAGGCGGGTGGATCACCTGAGGTCAGGAATTCGAGACCAGCCTGGCCAACATGGTGAAACCCCCATCTTTACTAAAATTAGCCCAGCGTAGTGGTGGATGCCTGTAATTCCAGCTACTCAGGAGGCTGAGGCAGGAGAATCTCTTGGACCCAGGAGGCAGAGATTGCAGTGAGCTGAGATTGTGCCATTGCACTCCAGCCTGGGCAACAAGAGCAAAACTCTGCCTCGAAAAAAAAAAAAAGAAGAGAAAAAGGCTTTATTATTTAGTAACATAGTTATTTGAGAGCAAGGCATCCCACAAACTCGCCTATGTAAATGAATGTGCTTATGACCCTCCTCAAGTCTCTCTCTCACTTGACTCTCTTTCTGGCAAACTGAAGAGGCTGCAGTGATAACTGGAAGAACAAAGTAGCAGGGATCTGAATTCAATCTTGTTTCTAAAAAAGAAACTTTAAAAAATAGGTGCAGTAGTGGCATTTGGTGCCAAGAACCCTAAGGAAGGTTTCAGAATTAACAGAATGAAAAAGATAACTGCAGCCAAATTGAAAAAAAAAGTCCCAAGATGGATTTATCATGAAGTTAAATGAAGCTTAGAATTCATACTCTCATTTGCACAGGTCCATATGAGTGCTGGGGGTTGTAGAATGTTCTAGATAGGGAGGGAAGTGGATTGCAACTAAGAAACATTTGTATGTTAACATGTCTGGAAAATTGCTTAAAGAGGTCTCAGAAGAAATAAACTCAAATCTATAAGGCTCCAGTAATTTATGGTTCATTTTTCTCATTCTAAATATTCATGTTCATACCTAATTATGTATTCCCAATTTAAAGAAAACCCCCTAAATTCTATAAACTTTAGGCCCCAAAAAACCTGGATGTGCATCTGAACCTTTCATTTCCACTGTGGAGATACTCACAGCCTCTTCAGCTTGTCTCTTGTAAGCTTTGACTTTGGTTTGCAATTTGTCCACCAAGTCCTGCAGCCTGAGAATATTCTTGCGGTCCTCCTCAGTCTGAAAGAGGTGCAAGTAGATGGTGCCATTATTTTAAAACAACTCATGATTTTCTTGAAAACTATAGGCCTGGAAGATATGAAAACACTGGTCACCTGGTAAGTGAGTTCCTTCACTCTTCTCTCATGTTTGCGAAGACCCTTGACAGCCTCAACATTGTGCTTCTGTTCACTTTCCACCTCACTTTCAAGCTCTCTCACCTGGAAGGGAACAAAGACGTTTACCAGTTTGGCTGTAACTGGCCACAAGGAATTGAGTGAAGTTGTGGAGACCTACCCTGGCCTCCAGTTTCTGGATCTGCTTCTTCCCACCCTTCAGCGCCAGCTGCTCAGCCTCATCCAGACGGAGCTGCAGATCCTTCACGGTCTGCTCCATGTTCTTCTTCATCCGCTCCAGGTGGGCGCTGGTGTCCTGTTCCTTCTTCAGCTCCTCAGCCATCATGGCAGCCTAGTTAGCAAATAAATTTTGAAAATAATGAATTCTGATGATAGCAGGCAGCATGCATGTGTCAGTAAGACAAATGCTCATCTTGCTTACATCAGTGATGGCCTTCTTGGCCTTCTCCTCTGCATTGCGGGCTTCCTGGACGATGTCCTCCATCTCTCCCTGGATTTGGGAAATGTCTGTTTCCAGCTTCTTCTTGGTGTTGATCAGGCTGGTGTTCTGTTTCAAATTAATGAAAGAGAAGAGAAGCACATTTACTTATAACAACTCACATTGTCATTTTACCTAGTGTACACAGGCAAAAATTATTGATCATAAGAAATGTTTAGAATAAAAACCAAATTAGAAGATAATTCTAAGTTTATGCCTTTTCTCCTTTCTATATATAGCTCTTTAATCAAACTTCTAAATTTAATTTTTGATGTCAAACATATTCAACTATTACCATTGCCATTTGTAAGCATGAAACACAGCCCACAAAACTCAAAGTGCTGTACCATGGAGCACCACACCACAGCTCATTTAAAATGAATCAGTAATTTTTAGCTATTAACTCATGTTGGTTGACTCCATATTTATAAATGCATAAATAGTTGTCTTGTTGGCTGGGCGCAGTGGCTCATGCCTGTAATCCCAGCACTTTGGGAGGCCGAGGTGGGCAGATCACGGGGTCAGGAGATCGAGACCATCCTGGCTAACACGGTGAAACCCCGTCTCTACTAAAAATACAAAAAATTAGTCGAGTGTGGTGGTGGGCGCCTGTAGTCCCAGCTACTCGGGAGGCTGAGGCAGGAGAATGGCGTGAACATGGGAGTCGGAGCTTGCTGTGAGCCGAGATCGCACCACTGCACTCCAGCCTGGGTGACAGAGTGAGACCCCTTCTCAAAAAAAAAAAAAAAAAAAAAAAAATAGTAGTCTTGTTGGGATAAAAATGAGCCAAGAATCCCTTCTGTTTTTGGCAAGTTGATGGTGTTTGGAATAGTCAACTTCAGATACTGTTAATAAGAAAAATGTTGCATATTAATTTGATTTTAAAATTATATAAAGCATGCAATTTTAACACTTCTATAATAGTTATGTTTATATAGTGCAACTTTCTGAAGTATACAGTACTATATATTTATTGTAAAAGATAGTAGAACATACAAATTAGCAGACAAGAAACAAAAAATAATTACTGTGCTCTCACCAGAGATAAAGGATAAACTTTTATTTATCTTTCTGGATGTTTCCTATATGTTTATACGGGAAAAAAGATCACACAGCCTATATTATTTTTAAGTTGCTTTTTTAACTTACTATAATATAAACATCTTCCCATGGCAATAAATTCATACTACAGTGGTTACATATTAGCCATTGTGAGGATATACCACCATTTATTTAACAAATTCACTATATACAACAAATGCTAACTAGTATTAATAATGGCCTCCATGAATTTGAACTAAAGAGCTTCTCTTTGTATCCCATGAGGTTAGCATTCTGTGCATATGTGATACGTAAATATTATTTAGTGGCTTTTTGTTTTTCTCCTCTATTTTATTTGCCTATCTTTTTGTAGCTTAGAGTTGCATAAGACAAGACAGCTACAAATGTTGTGTGTATGTTTATTTGTAGATGGTCTTCTGTGCTTTTTAAATAAAAGTTTCTAGAATTCCAGATTATTTCAACTCAACATGATTATGCCAGCCCATAAATATACTCGTGAACCAGCTAGGTCCCAGTAAATCCTTACAGCACCCTGTACATTTTCCAGAGCTCCAGGAAGGGACGAAGATTACTTTTTACTTTATAAACAAGCTTATCTTCTCAAATTATCTTCAGCTTCAGGGAGTACATTTTCTAAACCATAGTCTTGAACCTCACCTGAGTGTGCAGAAGTTGCACACGTTCACTGGCATCCAGAAGCTCTTGCTCTGCCATTTTCCTGCCTCTCTCAGTCCGTTCCAGGGATGCCCTGAGCTCTTCAACTTCAGCCTGCATCAGGTTAGCTCTGCGCTCAACCATTGCCAGTTGTTCCTTAAGGTCATCTTGGCCTCTGATGGCATCATCCAAATGTAGCTGAGTGTCCTACACAGAAAGAGAAAAAGCCTCTTACTCATGCTGCACTTAAAGCAAATGCAAACTTATGGTCATGTACACTCTTTGATCTTAATGACTTAGAGTATGATTAGATAGGAGCAATCGGCAAGTACCTTTAATAATAAATTCTTTGTAGCTGAGGGTTGCAGTTCTACTCAAAAGAACATGATGTTTTATTATTTTAGACCCTGAATCATTAAAAAATACCATGGCTAGCTCTACAAAATTTTGGATCAGGAAAGTATCCTTAGACTTCAGCGAGTCCAGTGGTGCTATTTTACATATTAAGCAAATGAAGTCCAGATTAATGAAGTGATTTAAGCAGTGGCATGTAGCCAAACTCTTTCATCACTTCCTCTATCTCCCTACCCCTCACCACAGTGCTTCTCTGCAGATAACAAAGCAAACTCTGTCCTGGGCCTTCCAGAATTAAGCTCTTTTTCAGTTGTGTGTGTATAACTTTGAACTTTGAACTGATTACCATGTTGCTTAGGTGATTTATGACACATAGTCCTCGTAAAACATTAAAATTTGAGTTACACAGTAGCACTGAGACTGTACAACACTATGTGTATTTACCCCAGCATACCTTCAGTATTCCTTGTGTGTTTCTAAGATTCCTTAGTGCCTCAGCAGCCTGGCGGTTGGCATGGTTCAGCTGGATTTCCATTTCATTAAGATCTCCCTCCATCTTCTTCTTGATCCTCAGAGCATCATTTCTGCTCCTGATCTCAGCATCCAGTGTACTCTGCATTGACTCCACAACTCTGAGATGGTTCCTCTTTAGCTGATCGAGTTCTTCATCTTTTTCAGCAATTTTTCGGTCAATCTCAGATTTCACCTGATTTAGCTCAAGTTGAATGCGAAGAATTTTGCCTTCTTCATGCTCAAGAGATGCCTTAATAAAAGCAACATTTATTTAGGTTACCTAAAGAGCTTTTTATTTCTTTCACATTATGATAATTTCCCCAAGAAGGCATTAAAAAACCCATAAACTATCATACGTCTTAATGTAGCCTATTAGCTCTGCATTCTCAAGGTACAATTCAGTATTTTTCACTGAATTACTTGTGTTATTCCCTAAAGATTTGCAACATGATAGAGATCTCAGTTGCTATTAATTTTCAATTTATTTATAATGCAGAGCTAAGCAAATGAAAAATGTACCTCTGCTTCCTCTAGGGAAGTCTGTAGTTCACTCTTCTCATGATCAAGTTGTTTCTTTACTTTCTCCAGTTCATGGATATGCTTTCCACCCTCTGCAATTTGCTCTGTCAGGTCAGAAATCTCCTCTGTAATAATAAAGTACCAAATTTCAGTTAAGTAGAAAGAAAAATTGAAAAGATGTCTCCCTACCATTTTTGAAATAGAATGATTACAGTGACTCACGTTGTAAGTTCTTATTCTCTCGCTTTAGAGTTTCAAGATGATCCAGGGATTCCTCGTAGGCATTCTTCACCTTGAACAGCTCAGTGCTGAGAGAACGCGACTCCTTCTGGGAGGCCTCAAGTTCAGCCTGAGTTTCCTCATACTTCTGTTTCCATTCTGCCAGAACCTGGAAGTATATAGAAAATAAGCCTTTGAAACCAAGAATGATGTCAGTTTCCCCCAAGGGGAGCTGGTACTGTGGACCACCTTGTCAAAGTTTCTTTGCTTCTTATCGAGAGCTATGCAGGCAGCATTAGATCGTTCCACATCAATCATGAGGTCCTCTACTTCATTCTGTAGCCTCTGCTTTGTCTTTTCAAGAGAAGCACATTTGGAATTCACAGCTTCTACATGTTCTTCTGCATCCTGCAGACGCTGGGCTAGCTTCTTCCTGAAAATTGGGTCAGTATGAGTGACCAAGAGCAGACTCAGAGTCACCACAGTGCCCTTTATAAAGCTGCTGACTAGGAAAGCATATTTCCCCAAGAGTTGTCTACAAGTTGTTGAATTTTTCTAAACATTTTCACTCTCTTAGAATTCTGTTTTCCCTGTTGAGTTCTTATTTTTATCCATCTCAGGTATTGCCAAACATATTTACGAAGCACCTGTGTGTGTGTATGTGTGTGTATGAGAGAAAGAGAATATAAGTTAGCACTAGAGCTGAGTGAGCAATGTGAAAATTTGCTCCTCTTTCTTTGTTTTTATTTCACTAAGCTGGCCCTCTATAGTGTGGCACATTTTCTTGAACTTTGCCTGGGGTGAGAAGTAGAAAACAGGAAGAGACAGTACATTTCTCTTTTGAAACCTGGGATTTAGAGATCTGTAACTACTTGTGGAAAAGGGCTGAGTTTTATTTACTTTGAGGAAGAAATGGCAACCATGAACAGGAAGCATATCACCAAGGAATGGTAGCATTGAGTAGTATCTTTAAGCATTTTCTAGTATGGTTCTGTTTATTTTGCAAATGAGGAAACTGCGGCCCAGAGTGATATGTTCAAGGTCATACAATGAATCAGTAACTTTCTGGATTTGGTGGCCTTTGATAATAAATATTACTGCATTATTGCATTTCCCAAATTTCCTCTAAAATCTTGTCTACTACTCTTCACCAACCTATGTAATTCATGACCTTTCCCAGCCCACACTCTTATCTAGAACTCTCTCTGGAAATGCTTGCTACAAACTCTTTCATCCTGTTTAATTCTAACAACTACTGAGATAAATTAAATTTAGAAAGGCTTCTTTCACTAGGAGTATAATGCTTTTTTTCCTTCTATGTGTAAATCTGTAAATCTCATGACTTGTAGTCCGCAAACAGTACGTGTAATTAGTGAATACATCCATTGATATAGGTTGTTAGTTGAAATAATGACAGCATATGACAACCTTAATATAAACATTCAATACTCCATCTGAGGAAAAACTGATTATTGTTAATTGTAATACTCATAATAATTTACCAGAGAGTCTCAATGTCTCAATTTTTCCTTCTATTAAAAGATACTAATTCTATTTAATTCATAAATAATATTCTGATAATTAATAATCCATCTTGGTGGAAAGAAATTTAAGATGCTTCTGGACAAGAATGGGTGGAGGGATCTGGTCTCATTCCATTCTCCAGTGGACATACACTGGGCTTTAAGAAGAAGAATATGGTGGAATCCACCAACCTATAATAAAATAAGCTGAAGTCTTTCATGTGTCCCCAAGCCCGGAATATTCTCTTTCTTCTATTTTTCCTTCACTGCCTTTACTTTTATTTCTTCCTGCTCCCCTGCACTAAAAGCACATACTTGGCCTCCTCCAGCTCCTCTGTGCGCTGGATGGCGTCCGTCTCGTACTTGGTCCTCCACTGGGCAACCTCACTGTTGGCCTTGGACATTCCCCTCTGCAGCTCAGCCTTGGCTTCCTGCTCCTCCTCATACTGTTCCCGCAGCAGGTCACAGTCATGGCGGGCTGACTGCAGGGCATGGGCCAGAGTGCTCTTGGCCTAGACCAACCAAAAACTATGTGATATAAGTTTATCTTCTGATCATTGAAATTCTCTATGCAAAGTTCAATAGTGTGTTATGTTGCACGGTTCAAGTGATTGAAAGTATCAGCTGGAGAATTCTCACCTTAGTCTCCTCTTCTAGCTGCCTCTTTAATTCTTCAATCTGTTGTGTAAATGCTTGTTTGCCTCGGGATAGCTGAGAAACCATAGCATCTTTTTCATCTAGCTGTCGTGAAAACTCACCTGTGGAAGACAAAACATCAATGATTTAGTTCTGTTGTCTAGGTAAACAATAATTTAAAGAATGGAATAACATTGTAACCCTCTTATTTCATATGATGAAAAAACCCCTCAAGATTTTCAGTGATGTTGAGAAGGTTATTTCTTGCTTTTTAAAAAATGTATGAGTTTTCTTTGATATTTTAGAATTCGAGAACTTTTGAGTAATGCTGAGTCACAAAAAATCTCCTGAGCCCAGGGAGCTTAATTCTTTTCCCCAATTGTCGCTTAGAATCATTGCATTTTACTGTCTCATAATAAAAAGATGGAGGAATAAGTAAGACATGATAAATGAATGTACAGAGCTTGAGAAATTACTTGTATTTGATAGGTAGGTAAAGGCTTGTCTTTCATTCGTCACCTCTCCGAAGGTTGATGCTATTTATTTACTGACCTGATTCTGTGTGTAAACGTGCCTTCTGGGCTGACAACTCATTTATTAAGCGTTGTTGCTCTTCTTCCTTTGTTTTTATTTCACTAAGCTGGTCCTCTAGGGTGCGGCACATTTTCTCAAAGTTTGCCTGGGGTGAGAGGTAGAAAACAGGAAGAGACAATACATTTTTATTCTAGAGGCTGGGATTTAGAGATCTGTAACTACCTGTGGAAAGGGGCTGATTTTTATTTACTTTTCTATCAATCTTGCATGGTGGCTATAAAGTAGTAGAGGCATTTAATTTGGCTAAATAATGAACACATGATTATCAAAATTATATTCTCTTTGAAAGTGTGAACATCATTTAAATTCTGCATCATTTAGAGTATGGTTTTTAGATAAACCTTTTTTGTAATTACATTTTTTTTCATGGTAATAGTATCAAAGGTTAAAGTGTTTTCTACAAAGAAGTTAAGAGAACTTAAGTGATTCAATACAATAATGTGTACTAGGAGTAAGTTTAAGCTTCAGATGCCATCTAATGTTTGTGTAATTTGGCTAAAAATAGTCATATATAAACTTGGTCATTTTGAATTGTTGCAAATAAAGATGAAAAGGGCACAAGTTAATGAAGACCTTGGCTTTGGAGACAGTCTCCATGTTACTAGCAAGGTCATTGATCTCCATCTTCAGCTCACTCTTTTCCTTCTCCAGCTTCTGCTTGACCCGCTGAAGGCTGTCAATCTGCTCCCCAAGCTCAGCCACACTATCTGCGTGCTTCTTCCGAAGAGCAGCTGCCGTGGCTTCGTGCTGCAGGGTGGACTCTTCCAGGTCCCTGCGCATTTTCTGGAACTCAGCCTCCCGCTTCTTGTTCATCTCAATCTGGGCTGAAGTGGCCCCACCGGCTTCTTCCAGCCTCTCACTGATCTCCTCCAGCTCCCGGGAGAGGTCAGAGCGCTGCTTCTCTGCTTTGGCCCGGGAGGCCCGCTCTGCCTCGATTTCCTCCTCCAGCTCCTCAATGCGGGCCTGGTTGTGATATGTCAACATTAATGTGAATTTATGTCAGTTTTGTTTCCTGTAATGCCCAGAAAAGGTGGAGGTTATAACTTACCTGTAATTCTTTGATCTTCTTTTGTAGCTGTATTGCAAGGGCTTGTTCATCTTCAATCTTGCCTTGCAGATTGCTCATTTCAAACTCTTTCCTATTAGAAGAGCAACACATTAGCTTATAATCACTTCTCTTACCAATCTTCTTTTCTATGTATAATCTAAGACTTTTTTTATACTGCTGGTGTTGAAGGAGTGAGTAGTACAATGTTTTACAGATTAATAATTGTATTAGTTTAATTAAATAAAAAGGTCAAAGATGTCATTATTTTTTTCCATATGTCATGATGTAACATTTTGGAGATCTTTTTAGCGTATGTTTCATTTGCATTGACATACAACAAGCAGGTTATAGCTGAATTATACCATACTTACTTTTTGAGTTTCTCATTAAGTTGCTGTTTGTCATTTTCTGTATCCATTGTGGATTCTTGGGCCAATTTTAGGTCACCCTCCAGTTTTCTCTTGGCTCTTTCTAAGTCCATGCAAAGTTTCTTTTCTTGTTCCAGAGATCCTTCAAGCTAAATTTATGATGCATTTTATTTATTTCAGCTCTTAAGCACTGAACCCTATGCTAGTAGCCTTCAAAGATACATAAGAAAAAAATTTAAAGATACAACAAATAGCACAAGAACTTTATTCACAGACCAAGCGTTAAAGGCTTATGACTATCAGTGCTGGTTTCATGTCACAATTGTTTATTTCATTGCAAGGGGAAACATTTTCTTTTTCACACTTACATCGTCCACTTGCTGTTCTAGCTTGGTTTTAGCTTTGGTCAGGGTGTTGACTTTGTCCTCCTCCATCTGCAGGTCATCCAGGGTCTGCTGGTGGGCCTCCTGGAGAGCCTTCTTCTCCTTGGTCAGCTTAGCAATGGTTTCATCCAGACCTGCCATCTCTTCTGTGAGGTTTTTCACCTTTAGATTAGAACAGATGACCAGAATGTCAATGACAACGTATTATCTTGATGAAAAACATGATGCTGTAGTATCTTAGGATAATGTCAGCGTAAGATGGAAAATGAGAACCAGGAGCTAACCCAGGCCTATAATGGCTGAAAAAATAGGAGGTAAAGGTCAAGTAAGTACATTGAGGTGGTGAAGACTAAAGAGATGAAATAGTTATGACAGTGGTATTTTTTATATTCAATCATCTTAAGATTAAATTTTTAATTAAAATACTTCAGTATCAAGGTGCTTATAAATATTCTAAAATGGATCATGATTTGTACCTTGTTCTCTGTGGCATGTTTCTCCTTCTCAACCTTGGCCAGTGTCAGCTCAAGGTCATCAATGTCTTTCTTGAGCTCTGAACATTCATCCTCCAGTTTCCTCTTCTTGGCTGTCAGCTCAGCATTGATCTCTTCCTCATCCTCAGCTCTTTCAGTTACCTCTTTGATTTTGGCCTCAAGTTGGATTTTGGTTTTAATCAACTGATCACATCTTTCCTCTGCATCAGCCAAGGCATCTGCTTCCTAAAGGGAGAAATTAAGCATTTTCATTTGTCTGAGCTATATCTATAAGCACACAATAATTTATTATAAGGTGGAAATTTCAGTGACTACCTGTTTGGTCAACATGTATACCAGTTGCTAACTTTTAAAATGAAACAGACAAAATGTTAATACTGTTATCTACTGATCAAGTATAATAACAAATTTCCTTCAGATATTCATGTGTGGCAGGCCAAATCAGGAAAACTAGCCCTTTGGCAAAAATCTGCCACTTTACTAACCTTTGCAACTTTGGAAAAATCGCTTGTTCATTGTAGGACTCAGTTTTCTCACATTTAAGAGGGGATTAACTTAGCCATTTCTCTGCCCTGATAAAAACAACATAACTTCTATTTTATGCACAAAAATACACTAAAGAAAGAATAATCTGATCTGAGAGAAAGTTCCATAAATAAAGGAAAATGTCTATTGATATTTTTATGAATTTGCTCACTGATGACCAAACTGTGTGTGAATGCACATATGAACGTGTGCAGCATGATATGTGACTTTGCATCTATTGCTTCTTTATGCCCGAGTCTTGGTGTTTTTGAACAGCAAACAATCAGAACAAATGTTTCAGTGGAAACCATTCATTTTAAAACGTTAAAAGTAATAAGATGTGGCTGAACTGCAATGTATAATACTTACAGCTTGAACTTGGAGTTGTAAGTCATTTTTCTCTTGCATTAGCGTCACCATCTTTTCTTCTAGTTCTTTCCTTTTTGCCTCTGTCTTAGCCAGCTCTTCTTTGGTTTTCTCAAATTCTTCCTTCATGTTGGCCATCTCCTTCTCTGTCTCTGCACTCTTGAGGAGGGGCTTGATCTTGAAATACAGCTTCATCCAGGGCCAGTGCTTCACATTCATGAAAGCACGGATGTTGTACTGAATGCAGAAGATGGACTCTCTGTAGGAAAAGAAAAAAAGATGCAAATGGAGAATAATGTGGAAAGTGATCATCACTCAACAAAAGTAATGACTGCAGTGGATTCATTTATGAAAGTGTGGAGCAGGAAGACTTGTGTGTGGGCTCTCACCTCCTCTCCATCATCTTTCTGAACTCCACTCTCATCAGGAACCCTCTGCATATGGCTTGAGTGCGCGTGATGAGTTGAGCTAGCTTTTCATCTCGCATTTCCTCTAGAGTTCCCAGCAGGCCAGCTTTGAAGAAAACCTTATGAAAGAACAAGTTAAATATGTTATTTCCACTTACAGGAAAGTCTAAAAGTGATAGAATTATGACAGATAGAAATTTGGACTGGTGATACCTTGGTATGACCGAATTTGTACTGGGTGTGGTCAATTTCAATAGACCCTAGAAGTTTCTCAGAAGCCTTCTTGCTGTCAATGAACTGACCCTCTGGGATAGCACTCGCATTTAGAACCTTGTATCTGTCAGAATAAAAAGAATATAAAAATGTGGTTTTTCTTCACTGAAAAAAACAGTAGAACATTTGGTAGCTATCATTGAAAAGATGATAGATTAAGTTTTGGTGAACAAAATGCCATTTAAAAAGTCAGTGCTTTATTTAAAACTTCGGAAGATATGATGAAAAACTTATGATAATATAAACCTAAGCTTCTTTCTTTTATGATCAATTTTCAAATAATTGCATGTCATTTTTCAAGGAAAAGTTTAAAAATGTTGGAATTATATAGTGATTTTGTGTAGACTAAGACATTGGAAGGGAAAAATAATGAGACACAAACCTCTGTTTGAAGTCTGCATAAAGGATTCTGCTTGGGAAGCCTTTCCTGCAGATGCGGATGCCTTCCAGCACACCGTTACACCTCAGCTGATGCAGGACAAGCTCATGCTCCATGGCACCTAAGAGAATGAATCCACATGCCATACTTCGTGGTCTATCGCACACACACTGGAGCTTGTCTGGATATCAGAAATGTCTTACCAGGAGTTTTAGTTTCATTGGGGATGATGCACCGCACAAAGTGGGGGTGAGTGCTCCTCAAGTTGGTCATCAGCTTATTCAAATTCTCCTGTGGAACCATATGAAAAGTTTTAAAATCATTTCTAGTTGCATCGACATGAGAGTCCCTATCAATATTTGTCTTTCATTTCACATTTTAATGAGCTGTCTCAAGGAAAAACAAATTATCATAACAGAGAGGAATCATATAAGTGGAGCACAGGTAGGAAATTACAGATTACACAAAATCAGTTAATTTCAGTTTGTTATTCTCAAGCACCACCAGTCAGAGAAACTTTGTATTGCGATTTTTGTCACATGAAGGAGATGTAATTGAATACAGTGGTTATTTTTAAAAGAGCATTTGATTTCATGTGAAATTTGTACAATACCAGATCTCTTGGATGTAGGGCTCAGGGGCAATGGTTCACGTATCATAAAGATTGATGTGAAGAGATATGTAGTTTGTTTTTTTGTGCTAATTTTTTTTCCTAAGCCATTTAAAAAGTTTACAAAACCTTTAGTAGTATACTAAAAAGTATACTGTACTACTTTATTCACTTTCACCATAAATATCTTTTAAAAAATTTTCTGTTTTGATGGTTTAGTTTTTTAATGAAAGTATTTATCTGTAATTCAAGAATATACTGTACCCTGAAAAGAGCTGACACTGTCTGGAAAGAAGAACCCTTCTTTTTGCCACCTTTCTTTCCACCACCACCCTCTAAAAAACAAAATGGGAAAAATAAAGTTATTTGCAACTGCCTTTTAAGTACTATCCATAAACATCAGGACTGCCAAAATTCCCTTTAGAATTTAAATTTGCACTCATTCACTTGCATCATTCCTATTCTTTCCATATCTCTCCTCCCTCAATTGTAGATTAAGAAAGTCTAAGATTTGGCTGACTTTATAGTCATTCATGAAAAAACCAACAACAAAAGAATTGTGAGTGTAAGGGGTAGATGTGGGTAGGGGATGGGACTCCCCTACTCCAAGTCAGCAATGTCTGTTCTCTGAAGGAAGGGCCAAGGAGACAGAGTAGTAATGCCTTGTTAGTGCAGGCCTCACTTGGACAACAGGCAGAGTTGCACACTTGGTCCCAGGTAGGTGAGCCTCTGCTCACCTGCAGGGAAATCCTGGCTCCCATTTGCCTGTGCTTCCATGGTGTTACTTGCACATCTGGTCTTAGAACACTTAAGAGAACAGAACTTCAGTTCCCCAAGCACTAGGGCCCTGACAAAGGATTTCCTTATCTCCAGCCTAGCTGGAGAACCTTGAAAGAACCAATACTATTAAAATGATAGAAATGAGTTTTATGATCCTGAGCAAATCACTTAACCTCTCTGAGATTCTTGTTTTCTCATGAGTGAAATCAGGCTGTGGGCTAAATGCTCCATAGTGTCACTTAGCTCTGAAAGTCTGTGACTGTAAGACTGTATCACAGTTATTAAATACACTTTCTTTCATTAGGCATGTATTGGCCAGTGTTTTTGTGTCAGGTTTTGCTGTAACTACATTTGTCTCTGTTGAACAGTGTATATCTATTTTGTGACTCTTGTAACATATTAGTGCTATTAAACATGACCTGCTTCAGCAGTTTGTGCCCCAGAGAAGAGGAAAGCCAGAGTCTTCATTGCAGACTTCTGGTACAGCCCCACCACAGTCTCATTCAGGGGGTCCTTGTTTTTGTCCAGCCAGCCGGCGATGTTGTAGTCCACGGTGCCGGCATAGTGCACCAGTGAGAAGTGAGCCTCAGGCTTGCCTTTGGCAGGCTTGGGCTTCTGGAAGTTGTTGGATTTTCCAAGATGTTGTTCATACAGCTTGTTCTTGAAGGAGGTGTCTGTTGCCTTGGGGAACATGCACTCCTCTTCTAGGATGGAGAAGATGCCCATAGGCTAAGAATAGGAAAAAAGGGATGATAATGATGAGTCCCTCAGAAAGTTATGCTCCATGTAATTGATGGAAAACTGAAAATACAATGTTTCAAAAGAAGACTTTGAATGATAAATTAAATAGGCATGACATGTGAAGCAGTCATTATGTACCCAGAACATATGGGAAATATACTTGCTAGAAAGACTCAGTTAAAAAAAATACATCTGAACTATTTGGCACACTTTATGTTCAGTGTATAAAATCAGATTCTGAAAACATCACTTCAAAATTGAATTCTTTATTCCATAAATGTATATATCTGACTACTTTCTTTCCTACTGACAATATAACTTCCTTTACCTCGAATCTAGAGGTGACAGAAGTATGAAGGGAAGAGAGATTATGTGTAAGGACTAAAAATGATCCATTCCTAGGAGGAAATTGCATCTTATATTGTATCATTAAAATTCTGTACTTTAACCTATATTCTCTACCACTGTGGAGTTAAGTGATAGTAATTTGGTTTTGCTTTCTAAGAGTTTGGCTTTTTTCTTAATGTATTTGATAGGAAAGACTGAAAGAAAATTCAACATTGATGATTTAACAAATTCACAAATTGTACCCCTAAGACTATTTTGGTGATACAGAAACTGAAATACTAGAGAATAAAATAAATGCCTTTTCTGAAGACCATAAAGTTTTCATGAATAGTAGAGATATTATATCACCAGATTAACGTATCTTTTCCCCAAATTGTGCAGACCTAGTCTGCTTTTAAACTCTTATCTTTCATATTTTTGTGAATTTTAACCTGAGTATTTTAAGTTTTCCTAGGTGGCAATTGCATTTACGCTTCCTTTCCCACTGCTTAGGGTAGGGTTCACACATACACTTTATTGATATCAATAAGTATATGACAAGCTCCCAAGATACTTTTGGAAGTGTTTAACGATTGCTTGATGAGTGTTAACATATCTAGATCTGATGTAACTATTGCTTCACCCCCTTAGTAATGGGGAATTCAGGGCCCATTTTCTAGGTAAGTGATACAGAGGTTTGGTGTTTATTCAGTAGTTATCATGAACGGGGAAAGACTTAATGACTGCAACAGTTGAAGGACTAACCTTCCAATCTTTAAGACGTGTTGACATAGCCTGCCTTGTTACACATGAGGGATGATGATAAATGCACAATACACTGTCATGGGTACACCAGGGTTAATTACACAACCCAGAGGAATAGCTGTAATTTCATCCCTTTCTCCCATATGCATGAAATAGTGTAGGAAGAAAAGTGAGGGAGAATTAAGTTTTTAGAGGGATAAATGCGAATCCATATGTGTGTGAGTGATAAACATTTTTCTACAAACTGCTCTACTTATTAATAACAGATCACTTGGAACATACCTCACAACCAATCAGAATATACGAGTGTGTCAGGAAACAGCACTGCTTGTTCTTTGAGAACAGGGAGTGTGATTAAGCACAGGGAGGCAAGCAATTTGGTTTTCATGTTTTGAAAGCTAGAAAAGTCATATGAACCTTCTCGATGAGCTCGATGCAGGCAGCCAGGTCCATCCCGAAGTCAATGAACTCCCACTCGATGCCTTCCTTCTTGTACTCTTCCTGCTCCAGCACGAACATGTGGTGGTTGAAAAACTGTTGCAGTTTCTCGTTGGTGAAGTTGATGCACAGCTGCTCCAGGCTGTTGAACTACAGAACAAGATAAATATAGGAAATTACGCATAACAAGTATTCTATCTACAGAGTATCTATTAGTATTTTCTTCTGAATTTAAGGCATTTTGGTTTATTAAATTATAAACCTTCAGATTGTTTTCCTATTATATAGTTCTAAACAAAGTAGAATTGATTCTTTGAATACTTATTTTCCAAGTAACTGCATGAGATCATGCATACTAGGCAAAATACTGTTAAATGAGGACTCTGAAATATTTCCTTAGAGTAATTTTAAAAAGGTGTTCTCATGCTCATCTGCTTGGATCCAGGATAGATTTTGACTATTTTAACCTCTCAGGGATCAACTTTTGAGACTTCTAGACTCAAAAGAATAGAATTTTCTCTTTTCCTATTTATACCTATTTACTTTTCATATCTTTTCAAAGACTCCTTTCAGTAGGAATTACATTTGTATATTTTGTAAGGTACATTTTGTAAATGTGATTTTGTATGCTCTAACAAGAGGATTTGCACTGGCTAATTTTCTGTCAGTTCACTACTCACATCAAAGATCTCAAAGCCAGCAATGTCCAAGACCCCGATGAAGTACTGCCTGGGCTGCTTGGTGTCCAGCTGCTGGTTGATGCGGGTGACCATCCACAGGAACATCTTCTCGTAGATGGCTTTGGCCAGAGCACCCACTGCATTGTACACCTTCAACAGAAGTGATAGTTTAGTTTTTTAAATTGAAAACAGTGATGAACTCCTGAGTCACTTGCGGTTCAAATAAATCAGACAATTTAAGTCATGTTTACCTGCTGCACAGTCTGGCCTTTGGTTACGAACTCATTGCCGACCTTGACTCTGGGATAGCAGAGAGATTTGAGCAGGTCAGCAGAGTTCAGACTTGTCAGATAAGCAGCTTTGTCAGCAACTGTGTGAACAAGGTGAGAATGGTGAAACTGACCATGGCTTACACAATTTAAAATGTAAATGATGATGACAAAGAAAAAAGGTTTCACTCAAAAAGTAAGATGTGCAAATGTCATTGAAACCTTTTCATTTGTTCATATTGCCTCAAAAGCATTGCCACCACTTGCACTAATTTTAGTCATTTCTTGTGATGATAAATTGGAGGTTGGGGAATCGATGCTGTCTGTGATATTTAACCTGGCAAAAGTAGACCACAGATAAAAATAATTTGAGAAACCCTAACCTAGAGGAGTAGTGACAGAAATATTCAGATCTCTGTTTCTTTCAGTGCCTGTGGGCACACAGATTATCCTGAAATAAAATATGTTTTAGTCAAATAGCAAATATGAGCTTATGAAAAGCCAATGAATAATGGAATGAGCAGAAATCACAAATCTGCTAAATAATGTAAAACGTCAGGCAGTGTGTAATTTCCTTCTCGTAATACTTTTGCCCTTCACGAGCTAGGTCAGAGAAAGTAAAAACACGGTCCCTGCCTCTGAAAAGTTCACTATGTCAGCTTTGTCAAGTGGAAGATACCAACAGGGGGTGGTACCTTCCGTGCCATCTGGCTCTGCCTGCTCTTCCCTTTGCTTTTGCTTGAATTTCATGTTCCCATAATGCATCACGGCTCCAGTGAGCTTGTAAATGGCCACCTTTTCATCAGCAGTGAAACCCAGGATGTCCACAGCACTCTGTCAAAAGAGTTGAATTTGCTCATCCCCAATTAGCACCATGGAAGAATCCCTCAGAACACCGGGGCTGTCTCCCACTTTTTTCTCATCACGCCTTGCCTTATATTTGACTAGCACTTTGCCATCTTCAAAAGGTACTCATATGCTTTACCTTTTGATCCACATGGCAACACGAAGAGGTATGCATCAGTCTTTCCATTTGAGTCATGAGTCCATTTGGTCACAGCATATGATGTGACTTGTCCACACTCACTGAACCAGGACTAAGAGCCATGACTTTTGATGCCAAGGCCAGTGCTTTGCCCCTTTTCTCCACCCCAGCCCCCCTTTGCTTCTCAGGCACATGCTCCTCTTGGTCTTTTGGCTATTTTTGTTTCTTTTCTCCAGTCTCACGAGTCTCTCTGTTGCTCCTTCTTCTCCTATTTGTCCTATCCTAATGCATAATCCCAGTCTACCTTCCCCTGCTAATGGGCATGAGTGATAAAGTTGGAAAGAGGGTATGAGGAGAACAGCAATGGTTGTGAGTCTTTCTCCACATGCCTCTCTGATAGCAAGCCACAGCTCAGCGACCACGAGATGCCTGGGGTAGCAAACTTTACCTAGTTATTTATTTCTCATGCAGAGAAGAGACATTTATGAAAAGAAGGAATTTTGCCATTTAGTATAATATTTCTGTGTCTTTTTTCTCTATCGAATTTTGATTACCTTTTTAGTTGCCCACATAGGCTTTGAAAAGGCTTATAAATGGGGGCAGGATTCAGAGCAGGCAGAGGAAAATATGTTTATTTACCATTCTTACCTAAGACTCTTTCCCCAGATTATTGACTTCCACTTCCAGCTCACTAACTCTACCTATTTACAGAAACTAGACATTATTACGGAAGTCTTAGAGCAAGACTGCTACATTTTTTTAACCTCGCAGACCAGGGTGTGTTTCTTAACTCCCTATCACTTTTGGACATACAAAGATAATAATAAGTTATAGAGAGTTAAAGCTGATATTTATAATATAAAGCCACACAAATGAATTATTGACTTCTTGAAAATAATATTTTAATAGAAAAAGCAGTTTTGCAAGCACTGTCAACTCTAACTTGGGGGTATTGGGATAGTCCCACTGATATTAAAGTTAAAAATAAGGAAGATTATTCAGAAATCAAAAGAAAGCATGAAATATACATAAAGTTTACATATAAAGAAAGTAAGCCAAAAAGCAATAATCCTTAAAAAAGAGGTGATGGTGGGGAGAGAGTGCGTTGTTTCAAAAATAAATATAAAGGCTTATGGAGTCCCCAAAATGAGTGTTTTTGAAGTAGACAACCCACTTCTTCTAATGCTGCTTAGGGAGTAGAGAGGGATATATCATTGGCCCACAGAGGTTTATTCAAAATAAGGCTTATGTTTACATGTGACTGTAGAAGAACAGTGGGAGTTCCATGTTTAGTTGTAATAATATTGCAGCTCCTTCCCAGAATCTTGGGTGTGAGGTGTGGCATAAAATAGCAGAGAAACATTAATATTGGAGCATAAATATCAACCAAAAATGACTAATAAGAAAGATAGAATGAAAGGAGCCTACTAGCTAAGGAATACTAAAGACCCAACATTTATTACAGGCAGTGAAAGCTTTTTAACACATGTAGGGGGAGGGTATTGAAATATCCTACAATTTTTTTCCAAAAGTAAGAAAGCCCAAAGGGTTGTATTACCTATTTATAGTCTTTCTGCCACTGCTTTCCACCCTAATAGAGGAGAGTGTTGTACACTGGAAAATGAATTTACTTTTTACTACTTTGTACCTATTACTTACATCTGTGGCCATCAGCTCTTCCTGGTCATCAATGCTGGGCACAGTAATTTCCCCTTGGCTGACAAATGCGAAGTCATATGGGTTGGTGGTGATCAGAAGCATTTCTGAACACATGGAAAAGAACAGTATATAGACAGCATTGCTTTGGTCATCAAAAACATTTCAGAGAGGCTTCTTAGAAGGGCTGTTATTCTTTGGTAGAAATAAATCAAAGATGTGTCTTACCAATGAGCTCTGGTTTCTTATTGGACAGGATTTGATAAAATATGTGGTAGCTTCTTTCAGCCTTTAGCTGAAAAGTAACTCGGGACTTCTCTAGCAGATCTGGAAGTCAGATTAAGCTCATTTAAAAGAAGATGCCACAGTGAAAAATTAAGTGTTTGAAAATTTCACACAACAGAAATAAGTACAAGATTTTCTAATATGTACCCACAAAGAAAAAGATTCTCAATCACTAATATTTATTAACTTACATGTTTCAATATCTGCAGAAGCCAGTTTGCCTGTGGCACCAAAATGGATCCTGATGAATTTACCCTTAAAAAAGAAAAGGAGGGATTATTATACACATTAAAATCAGAAACTATTTCTTTAGCTGTGGACCAAACAGGTGGAAAAAATATTGACACCACATGCACACAAGAATCAGTGCTGATCCTCAAGAAAATGAAGATCAAGAGACTTACAAAGCGAGAGGAGTTGTCATTCCTCACGGTCTTGGCATTGCCGAAGGCTTCCAGTAGGGGGTTAGCACTGATGATTTGATCTTCAAGGGTCCCCTTAAGAGAAATGAATAAGACAGACAAAGAAAAAAGTTGCAGTAAATAATTTCCCATTGACCTCTTTCCCTTCCCCATTGCCCCTGCACAGTATTCTGTAACTTTGGGAAAGGCTTTCTAAAATGAGTTAAAAAGAAGGTAAATCGGGAAGGGGAGTGGGACACTCCAGTGATGTGGTCTTGATTTCTGCATCCCCCAGGCCCAGAAAAGCACCTAAAAAATGATTGTGAGAATTTTTGCCTATTATACTTGCCAATACATTGCCCTATTCATCTCATTCTCATGAGCTCTTCCAAGAGTTATTTTCCAAATTCTGGCATCACTTGCAATTGGCTGCTATGATTTTGAAGCACCACAGTCAGTTAAAAAAATTAACCTTTATTTTGGATTCAGGGGATACATGTGCAAGTTTGTACATGGGTATATTGCATGATACTGAGATTTAGGGTATGGATGATCCTGTCATCCAGGTAATGAGCATAGATAGTACCCAATAGGTAGTTTTTTGGCTCTTGCCTCCCTCCTACCCTTCCCCATCTAGTAGTCTCCAGTGTCTATTCTTCCCATCTTTATGCCCATTCATGCTCAATGTCTAGCTCTCACTTATAAGAGAACATGCTGTATTTGGTTTTCTGTTCCTGCATTAATTCTCTTAGGACAATGGCCTCCTCATGTTGCTGCAAAAAATATGATTTTGATCTTTTTTAAGGCTGCATAGTATTCCATGGTGTATACGTACTACATTTTCTGTATACAGTCTACTGTTGATGTGCACGTGGTTAGATTTTAAAATCTGTTATTCTGTCCTTAGATGAATATCATGCCCACCTGCATTTTGCCAGAGGCAGGTTCCTCTTTTTTCTTCTCTCCAGTAACTGCAATTGTTGCAAAGTACTGGATGACACGCTTCGTGTTCACAGTCTTCCCTGCACCAGATTCTCCACTATCAAGTTCAAACAGAAGAAAAGGTCAGAATCTAAGGTAGTAGTAGCCACTACAATGATCAAAACAGAAAGAAAGTAACGAAATCTACATACGTAATCAAGATTGACTGGTTTTCACGATCTGTAAAAGAGAAGCCAAAGATAATATTTAGAAAAACACACTTAACACATAGGTCAACGCAGTACTTATAAACTCAAAATTGTCTTTTAAAACTCCCCATTTGCAAAAATAACTATATGAATTTGTGCTTTGCTTCTCATAAGGTTTTTCTAAAAATAAGTATCAAAGATGTGCTAATTAATAATCCCATTACCTTTCTAATGTATAGACTATGTAATGCATCATTTTACCATTTTGTCCATGAGAATAATCTATCAATATCAGATTAATAACAATTTTGTGTCCCATCCAGTCACCTGGTTCATAGTACAAAATTATGTCAATGTCCAATTTAAAGTTTTGTACTGTGCTTGTGATAACTTGTCACTGTGAGTCTTCAAAACTTACTTTTTAGGAGAGATTATGTATTATCTATAATCCAAATGCAGAGTTGATGCCTAAATTTAATTAATTTTGAGGTGGAACTAGCATTAGTTAATTTGGATTTTAGCATAGAAATCTAAGCAAAATTTCCTCTATTTTTGGAACTAGTGCTTAGCATAGAAATCTAAGCAAAACTTCTTCTATGTTTGGAACTAGTACATTTTATTCTAAATATATTTCCCTAATTTTATTATTTCTGTTATCATGTTTGTGCTGAACAGTTATTCTCAGAATACTAGCCCTATGTTTTTTCTGATATCAGTATACAACTATTTTACAAATGGCTATGGAAATTGTAATTCTCACTCACCAGTTAGCATGAACTGATAGGCATTGTCAGAGATGGAGAAGATATGGGGTGGGGCCTCCTGGCGCTTTTTGCCTCGGTAGGCTGTCACCACCTCAGGGTTGTACACCGGCAGCCACTTGTAGGGGTTGACGGTGACACAGAAGAGGCCCGAGTAGGTCTGTGGGAAAGGACGGGGTTCCTCGATCAGCAATCACCTTGTTTATCTATCTTGGAAATACTGTTTAAGGGCAAGTAGAGCAGGACCTAAGTACTGTGTTAGTTCTCATAAAGTTTCATTCATTTGTTGCCTCCTTCCATCATTGCTGCTGCACAAAATGCTTCAGTTTTTCTTTTTTTTTTTTTTTTTTTTTTGAGACGGAGTCTCGCTCTGTCGCCCAGGCTGGAGTGCAGTGGCGGGATCTCGGCTCACTGCAAGCTCCGCCTCCCGGGTTCACGCCATTCTCCTGCCTCAGCCTCCCAAGTAGCTGGGACTACAGGTGCCCGCCACTACGCCCGGCTAATTTTTTGTATTTTTAGTAGAGACGGGGTTTCACCGTTTTAGCCGGGATGGTCTCGATCTCCTGACCTCGTGATCCGCCCGCCTCGGCCTCCCAAAGTGCTGGGATTACAGGCGTGAGCCACCGCGCCCGGCCCAGTTTTTCAACTAATTCAGTTAAGTAAATGGTTTTCCACATGTACATTTTAAAACATATCAGAGTTTACAACATTAACCAAACAATTGGTCATAAAAGAACAGTTCAATAGCCAAATGTATTGAAACCCCTTAATTTATTTTAGCTAACATGTGTAGAATGTGGAGTGAGTGAGAAATAGCGTTGAAAGGGTGCTCACGTAGATCATCCAGGCTGCGTAACGCTCTTTGAGGTTATACAGCACAGCAGGCTCATGCAGGTGAGTCATCATGGCCATGTCCTCGATCTTGTCATATTTGGGAGGGTTCATGGAGAAGACTTGGTCTTCTTTCACAGTTACAGTCTGTTAAGAAAAGAAAAAACAAGTGCATATCAAATAAGTAGCAGAAAAAGCCAGGTCAAAAAAATATCACCTAAATTAACCCAAAATGAGGCAGAGTCTAATTAGCTCCAGGTGTTTTTACTCACAGCTCCAGCTTCGGTCTTGGCTGTCACCTTCCCCCCTTCCCTGCTCTGCACTATTGCTTTCACGTAGGACTCCTTAGGGTCCACCACAAAGACTGATGTCTTGGCATCAAAAGGCTTGTTCTGAGCTTCAATTCGCTCCTTTTCAGACTTTCGGAGGAAAGGAGCAGCCTCCCCAAAAATGGCCATCTCAGAGTCAGAACTCATGGCTGCAGGTTATTGATGGCAGTACTGGACTAGGTATACCTAGAGGAAGAAACAGAGCCAAATGATGATTCAGGGTTGGGGTGGAGAATTGTTCTGTTGATTTCATATTAATGTGCTTAATTTTCCATGCTTGTTTCCTCACCCCTGCCTTTAGGGACCACTCCTGTATACTATGTCAAGGAGCTGAGAGATCAGCTCATTGATTTGAAAGCACTATGTTGATAGCTTAATTTTTGTGATACTTTAAGCCTAAGTTCCATCCTCTATGTTGTAAACCTTAGTTGAGAAATGTGGAGGAATCAACATTCAATCAGCAACATTTGTGATGCTCCAAGCATGTTCAGAATTTTTTCTTTTTCTTGCTACTTTTCTTTTCTTTCTTATTTCCAACTTCCCCCTCTTAACATCGTGATGATACAAAGAAATGGACAATAACTGTTTCCACTGGCTTTACAATATAAATGAACCTGTCTTAAAAACTCAAATACAGATCTTTATGCAAATTTTCCTCTCATCCCAAATTATTAAAATTGGATGTCAGATTTACTAAAATTGAATGTAGACAGATACACCTGTTCTTTCCGGACATAAGTCCAGATCTAATCATTACAAATAAACACCTAGTTAACTGACAGGTATTAGGTAAGTAAAGGAAAAAATAACTACAATGAAAGCTGAATATCCAACATATAATTTTGCCCTAAGTTAAAATTAAAATCTCCTTTATTAGTTTTGAAATTGTTTGAAAGTCAGAAGTAGTATCTAAACCAAAAACAACTTTAAAAGATTCTTGGAGAAAAGGAACTTCTTAATTTTTAATAAAATTTTATAGTGATTGTATGTGTTGATCTGTATTTCTCTTTGTTTTTAGTTGGATTTCAACCTAACATATTTTAAAATCTGATTCTTATTTTCTTAGGTTTATAATCTCGTTCTTTCTTCTCCTCTTTTTAAAAATACCAACCAGTCTTCTAAATATTTTTCTGAAATGGATAGCCAGTATAAAGTTTCAAGCCAAAATGAACTTAAAAAATTTTCCCTACTGACAAATTAATTATGAGAAAATAAAATAAGTCCTGCTGTCCTGATGGCAAGGACAGGGTGAGTGGCCAGAATAAAAGAAGGTGACCTCTGTGGAGCAGAAGTGTCTTGGTTGCCAATGACAATGACAGCAATGATGGCGACAACAGCAATAGCCACCACCTTCTGTAGGCTTTCCAGAGTCTTGATCTTTTGTCATCAGCATTAACTTTCCCTCAACTTAAAATGTTAGCTATGGAATTTCCACATACTCTATTTTCAAAATCAGTCTTATCTGTAAAAGTGTCCTGATGACACTGTGAAACTTAGACATATTTTCAGGGGATATATATTGGAACATTTAATGTCAGGTTTTTTTTCTTTGAAGAAGAAATGTTATTTATATTACATTATATTTTGTTTCTGTGTTTGTTTTTACACCAGGCAACTTGAATTAACAACACACTACCACGTGGAGGTTACTATAATGCAGTGTATCCAGGAAACACAGAAAGATGATTGCTACCCTTCCCATCTCCTGTCTTATTATAGATTAATTGTTTCCCAACTTGGGGATCAAGCCCCAATAGAGCCTCAGGTTGTTGCAGGGGGTTCTTGAATCCACCCACACAGTGATCATTGCCTCAAGTTTAAGGAAGGAACATTTCCACATGAACAGTGTTTTCTGTTCTTTTCTAAATGAATATAGCTGCTATGTTAAATATAAACTCATTTAAAATAATTCTTAAGTGTAGAATAGGTTTTCATGATTATATATATCCTTAACATCATACTAAAAGTACATGTCTCCACATGAACAATTAGCAGGATTCCATTAGTTTTGATTCTCCATTAGCAGGGTTCCATTAAATGTTTTGATTCTGTGGAGGAGTCCTTGAAAACCACTGACGTCAATCACAGTTGGCAAGAGCTGGAAGGACCTTAGCAGTCAATAGAATCCAGCCTCCTCGTTTACTGATGAGGAAACTAAGGCCTAGAAAGGTTCAGGGTCATTCAGTGTCATAGTGGTGGGTGATAAGTGGCGGTACTGGGACATGAGTCCTGTTCCGCTAAATGCAGGTTTGTTAATTCCACTTGCAACACACTGTATTTCAAGATACATAAAGGCTAACTGGCTTGACCCAGGCAAATAGAATCAGTGAAAAGCCTGGATTGGCACCTAGAAATATCGACTTCCAGATAAACACACCTTGATTTTATCATGCGGTCTCTCTGATATATCTTTATGGGTTAAGTTGGAGTAGTAGTTCACATTAAATATTACATATGATGGCTGCATTCTTTCTGTAGTTCTAACAACATGTGAAAGAGAAGTTTCATTAAGTTTTGTTTGATTAAGTGGCCTGAAAAGTCAAAATTTTATGAGAAGGCATTTTTAAAGAACAGCTGCCCCGATATCCTATTCCCAATACTAAACTAGGAAATAAAATGGTAGCTCATTAAGATGTAGCAATATAGAGATTCCTTTGTTCTTTAGAGTGTAATAATAAATTATTCTTACCTCTTGTATTATCAGATGAAGAAGGTGGCAGGCTCAAAGCAGACAACTACTGTTGAAAGAAAAAAGAGAATGTGGGATGCTTTTTTTTCCCCATTTAATCACAAAATACTAGTAACTATATTGTCTACAATGTCGTCCTTAAGAATGTTGGAAAGAATAATTAAAATTTGGGAAGCAGTAGACATCCCTTAAATGAAAAATCATCATCATCAGGAATGTAAAAGTAAGTGTTCTTCCACATATACATACCTTCAAGAATTTTGAGGAAGGATGGGAAAGAGGCATCTCAGCTCCACTTTTATAGAGACCATTCTGCAAACACAGCAGCCACCTCAGCTGTCCTAGCTGGGAACCTACTTGGCAAAACCGTTTTTGGCAATCTCTTTGCACAATATTCACTGACTGTGGCTGTGAATGGATATAATTAGAAATATTTCTTGACACCCATAAATAATTTAACAGAGGATGATCTAGGGTTCTTTATAGGCATTTGATAGGGGATGGGGATTCAGGGCTTCTAACACTGTTTCTCCAGTTTGGCTGTTGCATCATTCATCACAGAATTCAAAGCCAGATTCCCACTTACTCCTCTGCCTATAAAATTGGTCCAACAGAATGAGTCTGATGTGAGGAATTTAGGATTAATTAATTTGTTGGTTCTTAGAGCCATTAAGGAGTCTGGAATGAATTTTAGACCTGACACTATGATTGGAAGCAGTGAGCGATGGATTTTAAGACAACATTCCTAGCCACAGTCTGGATTTTAGAAAGACTGGCGATAGATTCTTTTAAAGTCTGAAAGTCTAAATATGAAGGTGAAAGTGAATTCTCAGATTAGGCAGTGGTGATGGACCACTGGGGGAGGCATAAGGGATTTAGAATAGATATAAACACTTCTGTTCTTTTTCTGGAGGACTTTCCATGGATATCTCCAGCTTGTATGTTTTCACTGAAGGAACAACAGGATGCTGTGTGATGTTCCATGCATGTTTCCTCTGCATAATGGAAGGAGACACAAACATGCATTCCTAGTTCATGGGCAGACTCTCATGACTAGCTATAGCTCTAATGAGGTGGGAACCACATATTTTTATTTAAGGTGGGAGGAAAGTCATGGTATCCACGATATTCTCCCTGTGGATTGAAAAGATGGATGGGCCATCACATATGCCCATAATACTCATAAATTGGCTTTTGATGGTTTTGCTACATACACAGCTGTTACTGAATATGGCAGGAAATATACCTACTCTAAGTGTGACCCTAACTGAGCTCTGGTGAGATATTTTCAACTATCATTAGCTGGCTTAAATTACCAATTAATGAGATCACTGTTTTTATAATTCTGTTGACTTAGAATTTATCTTTGACACATTGATAGATTGAATCTTTTATACTTTAAAAATTTATTTTGATAAAATTCTATGAAATAGGTCATCAGGCGTTAAAAACAAAATCTCCATGAAAATAACTCACCGAAGTCTAGCGACTTACCCAAAGTGCTAGGCTCTAGGCCAGAAGGAAACTTGTTCTATTTTTTCTCTCAGATTTTCACAACTCATTTATTTTTACTTCTTTTGGAACTTAACATCTGACTTGCAGACATAATAAGTATGTATTATATTTACTGTATTTGAAGTTGAAAGATGAAAGAAGAAAATATGAATGAGACCAAGATACATAGATGAGTTATAGGATTACAGATAGTGAGGACTCTTTACATAATAGTTAAAACTCTGATCAATTACAGATAGACTGATCACTCAGATTTTGAAAGCTCTGAAACAAGACCATAATATTCTAGTGGGACCCCTATTATGGGCCACCAGGAGTGGATCAGAGAACCTTGCAGAGCTTGGACAAGGAGAGAAGAGAAGCAGCACTGGGTGAGGGAGTACACATTTCCCTTAGACTTGCCTCTTAAAGGATTGTCTACATAGAAAACACAGGAGATTAATGCGAAGGCTTTTGTATTTGTATGGTTCTTTGTGATTAGATATGAGTGGGAAGAATGGCTCCAATCTAAATAAGGAGAATTATTTTGGAAACTGTCTTTAAGCAGTCTGTGTAAAAGCTGCTCGCTCTCTACTTTCCTCAGATTAGGAAATATTATAGGCTTCTATAACCTTGCATTTCCTTATCTATTAAAAACATAAATGTGGTGAAAATCAAATACTGCCTTCACCTTACGGGGTTGTATGAATTAAATTAGATTTTATATATATAGGTATCAGAAATTATATTATTATATCACATATGGGAGATTATGTATACTTTATTATATGCAATCTTATGTAATTCATACATGCACGTATGTAAACTGCTTAGGATAGTGTCACCAGGGGCAGCTGAAGCAAACATTTCTTCACTAGAGATGAAGGTCACAATGGCTTGCTGGTATTTCTCCCAAATATACCCAGGGAGTTAAAGTGGTAGTAAAGAGCTGAAGACAGATGGTAGATAGGAAATGTCTAATGAACAAGATTATTTTTTTTCTTTTAAAAATTTTGTTTAAAAATACAGTTGGGACCTAGGTTGGAGATGTTCATGTCTTAGCTTCTATAGTGTCCAGTGTGGCAGCATGACATTAATTTAAAAAACCCTTAAGATTCAGCAAGTCAGACTGGTGTTTGTCTTCTTTTAAATTTCTCTGAGACTCCAAAGGGCCATCACTACTGAAAAGAGGTTGTATAGTCACTTTCAAGTCAACTACTTTTATTACATTCTACATAGTTATATTTCATCATGTGGGTAGGTCATTGACTCACTTGTTTGCTCAATACATACTTACAGAGTGTCCGCTATGTGTCAGCTGTTGTTATAGCACAGGGGATAATGCAAAAAACTGGCAAAGCCCTGCCCTTATGGCAATTTCAGTCAGCAGGGGTGGATATACATAAACAAATAAACAAGTAAATATGTAGTATGTCAGATGGTATTAACTACTATAAAAGGAACAATAAAGCAGAGTAAGGAGTAAAGGGAATACTGCACCAAGGGGAGTGACCTGGATGGGCTTCTGTATTAAGGTGTCATTTGAGTAGAAGTTTGAGAGAAGTGAAGGAGCAGGCCATATGAATATCTGGAAGAAGAATTTTCAGACAGAGGGAGCACAAAGTACCAAGTCTCTAAAGTAGGAGTATGCCTAAAGTGTCTAATTTGTGATAACACGTATGAACCTTGAGAATATTATACTAGTGAAATAAGCCAGGCACAGAAAGACACATACAACATGATTTCACCTATAAGTAGAATCTGAAGTTGAATTCACGGAAGCAGAATAGAATAGTGATTACCAGGGATTGAGGGTTGGGAGAAGGAATTAGATGTTGATTAAACGATATACAATTTCAGTTAGGAGGAATAAGTTCAAGAGATCTATTGTACTGCATCATAACTATAATTAATAACAATGTATTGTATACTTGAAAATTGGTAAGAAAGTTGATTTTAAGTGTTATCACCACAACAAATAAGTATGTGAGGTAATGCATATGTTAATTAGTTGAATTAAGCTATTCCAGAATGTATACTTATTTTAAAACATCATGTTGTACACCATGATATGTGTAAATATATATAATTTTTATTTGTCAATTTAAAAAAGCAGCAAGAAAACCTGTAACAGGAGCAAAATGGGCAAAGAGGAGAGTGGCAGGAGATGAGTTAGGAAGGGTCAGGTAATGTAGGTCCTTATGGGACTATAGGGACTTTTTGGCTTTTAATCTGAGTAATATGGGAAGCCAGTGAGAATTTTAGGAAGAGAAGCAATAAAATCTGACAGAATGTAAAAATCACTCTGCTTTCTATGTTGAGTGTAGACTGCAGGCATCAAGGGTAGGCCAACAGTGGGCAGCAGGGCCAAGGATAGATAGGCATTGCCACAATGCAGATGGAATAGAGTAATGGCTTGGACTGTGTCCTAGTGACTATAGCTGCATAACAAATTACCCGAAATATGGTGGATTAAAACAGCCATTTTAGAAGGCACATGCATTCTGTGGGTCAATAATTTGGAAAGGACACAGTGTTCTCTCTGTTCTCCAATATCTGGGGCCCCTAAGATCCCAAATCCTGGGGGTGATTCAACACCTAGGGACAAGTACTTATAATAATGATTAGAGAAAAAAAGGATTGTTGAGAAGGATAACAAATAAATGAAGTGGTATCTGGAGGCAGACATGGGGTCAAGATAGGAAAAACTAAGCATATTGTTAAAAGATGGGCAAGATTAAATATATTTGTGTTGGGGAGAAAAATTCTGTGAGTTAAACAAATTGATAATGCAAAAGATGGAGGGGCTAGAATCCAGAGGCTAAATGGAAGGGTTGGACTCTGATGGGAACAGGAACACTTTGTGTATTAGGAAAGAAGACTGAGAGTGAAGGCAAGTTTTAGCTTAGTAGATTTGATGCTGAAAAGATGAGGGAGTTGGTACTTATGGGACAGTAGGGACTTTGGCTTTTAATCTGAGTGATATGGGAAGCCATTGAGAATTTTAGGAAGGAATTCTGCTTGCTTCTGTTTTCTCAGTGACGTACGCAGCAAAGTCATTGACTGAGTGGAAGGCAGGGGAGGAGATGTAGTGGGTATATAGAGAGAAGATGTGAAGTGTTCATTTTGGAGAGTGAAAGGTATACTACATGTCCCCAGAGTACTGAGAGATAATCATGAAATTAAAGTGAGACCTGTTTAGCAAAGTTACATGCTTTTTTCCCACAACTTTGTTTGCTTGGATGTGTCCACAGAAAAGATGAATATTTGGGTTTAACCAAGGTAAGAGTTTATCGGGTAAGTGCAATAGAGGGAGAGATGGGCAAGGGAGCTAAGAATCTTTTCAAGTGTGTAATTGTAATAATGTTCCATAAAATTTAAGCTTGAATAAGGAAGGAAGTGAGAATATGAGGGGACACACCAGAACAATGAAAAAGTGGAGGGGCATCAATGGATAGAAGGTCTTGATGATATCAAAGAAATTGTAGGGATGAAAATCTGGAGTAGGTGAGCTGGAAGAACAGAAGGTATTGGATAGAGATTGATTGTAATAAATCCCAATTGGTTGAGATGTGTAACTCTTTTTATACACTGTTGGATTTGATTTGCTAAGATTTTGTTGAGGATTTTTGCATCTATGTTTATGAGAGATATTGGTGTGTATTTTTTCTTTCTCATAACATCTTTATTTGGTTTTGGTATGGGTCATGCTGGCCTCAAAGAATGAGTCAGAAAATATTTTCTCTGCTTTTATGTTCCTGAAATTATTGTGGATAATTAGTATTATTTCTTCCTTAAATGTTTCGTGGAATTCGCCAGTGAAACCATCTGAGCTTGGTGCTTTTTTAGGGAATTCTTGATTCAACTTCTGCAATAGATATAGTCCTATTTAGATTATCTGCTTCTCCTTATGCAAGTTTGTGCAGAGGCTGAATAGTATGATTGAAATTGAGGTTTTGGAGAAGGTACACACATAGTGATGATGATTAAGTCAAGGATGACTATGTGCTGAATCTAAACTCTGGGGAGTCCCAGAGGCCGTTTTCTATACATGCAAACACATTTTTGTGCACACATATATAGTGTATATATTTATACAAATGGGATTGTATTATACGGATGGTGTTTATACAAATGGGATTGTGTTATACAAGTGGGATTGTATTATACAAATGGGATTGTATTACACGGATTTTTTTTTCATTATACTGTATTTTGAGCTTCTTTCCATGTTAGTATTCACTCGTTCAATTGGTATTTATTGAGCAGATATACAATGGTTTAAAAACCAAAGTGCTTGCTCTGATAGAACTTACATTTTGATGGGGGTGGTAGTGGAGACAATATGCTCATAAAAATACTTAAAGAAGAATTTCATATTCCAAGTGCTAGACCATGGAAGGTATAAATTAGAGTAACGAGATAGAGATTGATGTGGGGAGAGGACCACAAGAGGTAGGCTTCTTTCAGCTGTGACTTGAATAATGTGAAATAATTAGCCATGCAAAAATCTAAATGAAGAGCATTCCAGGTAGGGAAAATTTGGGGGAAGTGAGTGAGAAAAAAATAGCTCCGTATTTTGAATGCCTACTACAAACCGTGTGTGTATTCTAAACATTTGATATACATTGCTTCATGTTATCCTCACACAAACCCGAAGAGTAGAAAGTACTATTATTACCATATACTGAAAAGGAATTGAGCCACAGTCTGAGTAAGTAAATTGCCCAGGCCACATAACTCTGGTGTGTGGTAGAGTTAGTGCTCAGCTCAGGCAGGTTTATCCCAGAGACCATGGCATATCCTTTTTTCCCTCCCCTCCCCTCCCCTCCCTTTGCCTCCCCTTGCCTCTCCTTTCCTTCCCTCCCCTTCCCTTCCCTTCCCCTCACTTTTTTTCTGAGATGGGCTCTCACTCTGTTACCCAGGTTGGAGTGCAGTGGCACTATCTCGGCTCACTGCAACCTCTGCCTCCCAGGTTCACGCGATTCTCCCACCTCAGTCTCCTGAGTAGCTGACCACAGGCACGCACCACCATGCCCAGCTAATTGTTTGTATTTTTGGTAGAGACAGGGTTTCGCCAAGTTTCCCAGGCTGGTCTTGAACTCCTGAGCTCAGGCAATCCACATGCCTCAGTCTCCCAAAGTGCTGAGATTACAGGTGTGAGCCACCATGCCTGGTGCTTTGCCTATCCTTTTACTGTATGGCCTCTAAGGGCCCTTCCAACTCAAAGATTCTATATTTATCTAATGTGGTATTTTATTGACACAGTAAAGGCAATGCCAGAAGTAAAAAGCTAACAGGATAATAAGTGAGGGACCTCCTGTAAAATGACTTACACTTTATGAAAACCTACATGTATGGGAACTTCATGTGATGTTATGGTATCCAGTTGTTGAACATACCATAATTCTTATCCACCAGAAGCAGACATATTCAAAACCAGGATGCCACAAATAAATTAAAATCATGACACATAGAAATATGGAAATTACATGACTCTGAAAGATAGAAACGTATAGAGACTTATGTTTTCTTTACTACAGGATATAAGTAGAGACTTGAACCTGTTTTTCAAAACTTCTATCTTGGTGACATATTCATCATTTGGCCCCAATACACGAAACAGTTTTGCTCACTCACCACTTACCCCTCCTGGCTGTCTACACCTTTCCTCTTACTTCTTCCATTGTATGAATAGAGAAGTGTAAATGTGATGTTATAATAACTCAGAGGCACACATTTTCTTGGGCAAGCAAGTCTCAGTGGGAAAAAAATTGGAGAGATAGAATCTTTCAACTCTTTCTAGTTATTCTGTGTTATTATTTAGGACCTGGATTCCCAAGGGTCGATACTTATTTGTGTGGCTTACTCTTATTTTCCTTCCTTGTTGTTATCTGACATTTCTACCCTAAGGTATGAAAAATCATATGCTAGCTCCACTGCTCAGGCAACATTAATACTTACTATTTGAGAATCTGATTTTCCAAGTATTGATGAACAGTAGTACAAATAAATCAGTGGACAAATTTAATTATATCTTCGATTTCCTTAAATTCTCACCTCTTCCTCAGTTCCAGTTAGAGAGCAAGACTTGCTTAGGCATCTTGCTCCAGGAGGTAGACTTTTATGTTAAAAGTCATGCTTCCTTTCAAGAATTTTATTTGTGTTCAAGTTTTGGGTATGGCGCTAAGATACCTTTAATCAAGAAAAGAAGTACCGGGAAGTCACTGCTGTTCCTGCCAACAGCTAGCATCTCCTGTAGAGTTGGCATTAGAGATAGGAAGAGAATACACTCTGTTTCCAAGTTGTGGGATAGCAATGAAAGATAACTGTAAAAAGATAAGAGGCAGTTATGTTGGGAAAATGGATTAAATGTTTTCTTTTTCATGTACTAGTTGTTTGTGAGTACTTTGGATTTTTATAAATTTTACTGGGTAAACAGTAGCCTGTTGATTTTGACAGTGTTGAAACTAAGAGAAAAGATTGAAAAAAATAATTGTTTCTTAAACATAGGTTGTAGCTGGGGAAAATGCAGAAGTAAAATGTGGATAAATACAGATATTTTTCTTTGAACAAGTAAAATGAATGTATCAATCTGAAATCTGGATTTGCCTTGAGTAACAGGAGAAATAAGACAGGATGCAATAATTGAAGAGGAGAGGCAAGTCAGGATGCAATAACTGAAGGTAAAAGATAAGACAGGATGGAATAACTGAACAGGAGGGATAAGACAGGATATAATAATTGAATGGGAGAGATAAGACAAGATACAGGGATTGGAGAGGAGAGAGAAGAAAGGATGTGATAAATGAAAAAGACAAGACAGGATGTAATAAATGACAGGGAGAGATCAGACAGGTACAACAAATGAGAGAGAAAGAGAGAGAAGACAGGATGCAATAAATGGATATGAGAGGTGAGACAGGATGCAGTACATGAGCAGGTGAGATAAGACAGGTTACAAAAATGAGTGGAAGAGACAAGATGGAATAACTCAATGCGAAAGGTAACATGACACAATAAATGAAAAAGAGAGATAAGACAGGATACAGTAAGTGAACTGGAGTGATAAGACAGGATGCATGTAGTAAATGAGCAGGAAAGATAAGACAGGATGAAATAACTAAATAGGAAAGATAAGACAAGCAGGAGTAACTGGTCAGAAGAGATAAGACAGGATGCAGTAAGTGAAATGGAAAGATAAGATAGGATGCAATAAAAGGGCAGGAGAAATAAGAAAGAGTGGAATATCTGGATTGGAAAGTTAAGACAGGATGCAATAACTAAGCAGGAGACATAAGACTGGATGCAATAACTGAACAGGACAGATAATCAGGATGGAGTAAATCAATAGGAGATGTAAGATAGGAAGTAATAACTGAAAGGGGGAAAATATTAGCTTATTACAGACAGATTCTCCTTCCTACTAGGGAATGCTTTCTGAAGCTGGTAACATTGAAGGATGAGTAGGGTGGACTTGCAAAGAGGAGGAAAAAGCATTACAACAGGAGAAAGAAGAATATGACTGTGATATTAAAATATGGGAAAGGCAGCACTTCAGTCTACCTGGGTATCATAGAATTTATAAAAGTGAATACTTTGATGCCTACAGAAAGCATGAAAGTTGGGTAAAAATTGGAGACATTCATTTACTTATACTTTCAAAATACAAGTATTGAGCATAAACTGTTCAAGGCACAATCCCAAGTGGAAGGATACAAGAATGAACAAGTAAGACCCCCAATTTACACTCATGTAGCTTGTATTTTAATCAGAGAGAAAGACATTATTATAGTTATTATAAGTAATAAATGATGATATCATATAACAGGGACATCTTAACTGTTCTGGAGGGACTAGGAAGTGAAGAGTATCACAAGGCGAAGCTTCCAAGGTGCGAAAGGACTTCTTTAGGGTTTTGGCCTTTATGCTAAGAGCAAAGGGATGGTTTTAAGCTACAGAGTGTTGTGATCAGCCTATTATTTTTAAAAAGCTCTCTCTGCCTGCAGTTTAGAATAGATTTGTGAAGTAAGAATAGGTATGTGGAAGACCAGGCAGTAGATGATAGTAGTTTGGACAAGGAAGATGACAGTAAAGATAAAGAGAAATCGATGGTCTTGAAAGATGTTTAGGAGTAGTAAAAAAAAGTTAATGATTGATTGGATATGGGGGAATGAAGGACATGTAGATTTCAAGGCTGATTCCTAGCTTTTAGCTTGAGCCAACTATGTAGATAATGTTGCCATCCACTATGATAGAGTGGTATGGGAACAAAAGCAAGTTTTAAAGAGAGGAGGGTAAGGTCATGAATTCGTCTTGGCTGTGTTGCGTTTGAAGTGCCTATTAGTAGTGAGATTGAGTCTGACTCTCAAGGGAGAGAATTAGGCTTGGGATATAAAGTTGGAATTCATAGGTTATGAATGGCAATAGAAGCTAAGGGAGTAGATGAAATCATTTAGGGAGAAAATGTTAAGTGAGAAGAGATGGGGGTCTAAGATGGGACCTTGAGTCATATCACATTGAGCTCACATAAACACTTGAAGGTTATAGAGAGGAAGTTGAACTGACAAAGGAGAGAGAAGGAGAGACTAGATAGCCAAAGCTCTGAAGAAAACCAGGGCAGGAAAAAGTCTTGGAAATCAGGTGAAGAGATCAATTTCAGAAAGAAAGAATTGTCAGATGTATAAAATGTAATTGGAAGGTTATGTTAGTTAAGGCTTGAGAAGTGTCCATTTGATTTAGCAACAAATGAATCACTGAATCATAGTGAGATCCATTTCAGTGAGGGAGCAAAAACTATTTTGAAATGAATTAAAGAGTAGGTGGGAGGTGAGGAAATGAAAACAGCGTGTATACACAATTCTTTTCAGACACTTTGTTGTAAAGTTGAGAAGTGAGACAAAATCTGGAGAAAGAAATAGGATCAAGAGAGAGTTTAAGAAAGGATCCAGTACAGTGGGAGATATTGGGGATGAAAATGAAAGAGAAGTAGTCTATTATATAAATCTTCCAAAAAAGAAAGGAGGGAGGGAGGGAGATTTAGTGCCAAGCAGAGAAGATGGCCTTAAATTGGAGGAGACACCTCCTCACTGGAAGGAGGAAGATGGTTTGACAGTGTAAATGTGAGTCCATTTCCTTTTGAGCAAGATGGCTTGGCAGTATAAACGTGAGCCCATTTCCTTTTGGTGACATCTATTTTTTTCTTTTTTTAATTTAAAATATTTAATTGACAAATTGTATATTTTCAAGGTGTACAGCTTGATGATTTGCTATACATATACATTGTGTAATGATTACATCAATTAAATTAACACATCCATCACTACCCATGCTGTATGTTAGATCTCCAGCATTTAGTTCTCTTATATGTGAAATTTTTTACCCTTTAACCAACATCTTTTTGATTCCCCCCACTCTCAGCCCCTGGCAACCACTGTTTTACTCTCTGCTTCTGTGAGTTCAACTTTTTGGATTCCACCATATAAATGAGATCATGTGGTATTTGGTTTTCTGAGACTGGCTTATTTCACTTAGCATAATGTCCTTATGGTTCATCCATGTCATTGTAAATGGCAAGATTATCTTCTTTTATATGGTTGAATAACATTTGTGTGTGTATGTGTGTGTGTTACATTTTCTTTATCCACTCACCCATTGATAGACACTTAGGTTGTTTCCATATCTTGGCTGTTGTGAATAATTCTGCAGTAAATATGGGAGTGCTGGTGTCTCTTTAAGATACTGATTTAATCTCCTTTGTACGCTCAGAAGTGGAATTGCTGTTTTATTTTTAATTCTTTAAAGGACCTCAATACTGTTTTCCAAAATGGCTATACCAATTCGCATGCCCAGGAACAATATACAAGGGTTCCCTCTTCTCTATAGCCTTGCCAAATACTTACTATCTCTTCTCTTTTTGATAATGGCCATCCTAACACACATGAAGTGACATTGTGGTTTTGATTTGAATTTTTCTGATTAGAGATATTGAGCACCTTTTCATATATTGGTTGGCCATTTGTATGTCTTCTTTTAAGAAATTTAGGTCCTTTGCCCATTTTTAAATAGGGTTATTTGTTTTCTTGTTTTTGAGTAGTTTGAGTTCCTTTTACATTTTGGATATTAGCTCCCTATCCAATTTATGATTTGTAAACATTTTATCCCTGTATTAGTCCATTCTTACACTCCTAATAAAGACATACCCGAGACTGGGTAAGTTGTAAAGGAAAACGGTTTAATTGACTCAGTTCAGCATGGCTGGCAAGGCCTCAGGAAACTTACAATCATGGCAGAAGGGGAAGCAAACATGTTCTTCTTTGCGTGGTGGCAGCAAGGAGAAGTGCTGAGCAAAAGGGGGAAAAGCCCCTTATAAAACCATCAGATCTCATGAGAACTCACTCACTATCACAAGAACAGCATAGGGTAACCACCCTTATGATTAAATTACTTCTCGCCAGGTTTCTCCCATGACATGTGGGGATTATGGGAACTACAATTCAAGATGAGATTTGGGTGGGGACACAGCCAAACCATGTCATTCTGTTCCTGGCCCCTCCCAAATCTCATGTCCTCACATTTCAAACCAAAATCATGCCCTTCCAACAGTCCCCCAAAGTCTTAACTTATTCCAGCATTAACTCCAAAGTCCAAGTCCAAAGTCTCATCTGAGACAAGGCAGCTCCCTTCTGCCGATGAGCGTGTAAAATCAAAAGCAAGTTAGTTACTTCCTTGATACAATGGAGGTACATGAATTGGGTAAGTATATCTGTTCCAAATAGGATAAATCGGCCAAAAAAAGGGGGCTACTGGTCCCATGCAAGTCTGAAATCCAATAGGGCAGGAATTAAATCTTAAAGCTTTGAAATAATCTCTTTTGACTCCATGTCTCACAGATATAAGTGAGACTTATATCAGGTCACGCTGATATAAGTGGTAGGCCCCCATGGCTTTAGGCAGCTTTGCCCCCATGGCTTTGCAGGATACAGCCTGCCACCTGGCTGCATTCATGGCTTGGCATTGAGTGTCTGCAGCTTTTCCAGGGGCATGGTGCAAGCTGTTGGTGGATCTACCATTCTGGGGTCTGGAGGACAATGGCCCTCTTCTCACAGCTCCACTAGGCAGTGCCCCAGTGGGAACTCTGTGTGTGGGCTCTGCACCCCCATTTCCTTTCCATGCTGTCCTAGTAGAGGTTCTCTATGAGGGCTCTGCCCCTGCAGCAAACTTCTGCCTGGACACCCAGGCATTTCCATACATCTTCTGAAATCCAGGCAGAGGTTCCCCAATTTCAATTCTTGACTTCTGTGCACTTGCAAGCCTGACACCATGAGTCAGCTGCCAAGACTTGGGGCTTGCATCCTCTGAAGCAATGGCCAAGCTGTACCTTGGCCCTGTTCCCTGTTTAGCCATGGCTGGAGCTGAAGCAGCTGGAATGCAGTGCACCATGTCCTAAGGCTGCATAGAGCAGGGGGGCCTGAGCCCACCCCACGAAACCATTTTTTCCCTCCTAGGCCTCCAGGCCTGTGATGGGAGGAGCTGCTGTGAAGGTCTCTGACCTTCCATGGAGACATTTTCCCCAATGTCTTAGTGATTAACATTTGGCTTCTTATTAATTTTGCAAATTTCTGCAGCCAGCTTGAGTTTCTCTCCAGAAAATGGAGTTTTCTTTACTATTGCATCATCAGGTTGCAAATTTTCCAAACTTTTATGCTCTGCTTCTGCTTGAATGCTTTGCTGCTTAAAAATTTCTTCCACCAGATACCCTAAGTCATCTCTCTCAAGTTCAAAGTTCCACAGATCTCTAAGGCAGGGTCAAAATGCCACTAGTCTCTTTCCATAGCAAGAGTCACCTTTAATCCAGTTCCCAACAAGTTTCTCATCTCCATCTGAGACCACCTCAGCCTGGACTTCATTGTCCATATCACTATCAGCATTTTAGTCAAAGCCATTCAACAAGTCTCTAGGAAGTTCCAAACTTCTCACATCTTCCTGTCTTCTGAGCCCTCCAAGTCTCTAGGAAGTTCCAAACTTTCCCACATTTTCCTGTCTTGTTCTGAGCCCTCCAAACTGTTCCAACCTCTGCCTGTTACCGAATTCCAAAGTTGCTTTCACATTTTTCGACATCCTTACAGCAGCACCCGACTCTCTGTGGTACCAATTTACTGTATTAGTCAATTCTTACACTGCTAATAAAGACATACCTGAGACTGGGTGATTTATAAAGGAAAGAGGTTTAATTGACTCACAGTTCAGCATGGCTGGGGAGACCTCAGGAAACTTACAGTCATGGCTGAAGGGGAAGCAAACACGTGCTTCTTCACATGCTAGCAGCAAGAAGTGCCAAGCAAAAGGTGGAAAATTTGCTTATGAAACCATCAGATCTCAGGAGAACTCACTATCATGAGAACAGCATGAAGGTAACTGCCCCTGTGATTCAGTCACCTCCCACTGGGTGCCTTCCATGACGTGTGGGGATTATGGGAACTACAATGCAAGATGAGATTTGGGTGGGGACACAGTCAAACCGTATCACTCCCAATCTGTGGGTTGGTTCTTCACGCCATTAACTTTCCTTTGCTGTACAGAAAAGCCTTTTAACTTGATGCAGTCTCATTTGTTTATTTTTGCTTTTGTTTTCCATGCTCTTGGGGTCATACCAAAGAAATCACTGCCCATACCATTGTCATGGAGATTTTTTCCCCATGTTTTCTTCTAGTAGTTTTACAGCTTCAGGTATTATGTTTAAGTCTTTATTCCATTTTGAGTTAGTTCTTCTATAAATGATGAGATAAGGGTCTATTTCACTCTTATGCATGTGGATACTCAATTTTTCCACCACTATTGAAGAGACTATCCTTTCCCTATTGGTATTCTTGGCATCTTTGTCAAAAATCAATTGACTATAGATGTGCAAGTTTATTTCTGGGCTTTCTATTCTTATTCCATTGGTCAGTGCATCTGTTTTCATGCAACTACCATGCTATTTTGATTACTATAGTGTATTTGTTCATTTTCACACTGCTATAAAGAACTACCTGGAACTGGGCAATTTATGAAGAAAAGAGGTTTAATTGACTCAGCTCCATAGGCTTAACAAGAAGCATGGCTGTGAGGCCTCAGGAAACTTACAATCATGGCAGAAGGCAAAGGGGAAGCAAGGACCTTTTTCACACAGTGGTAGGAGGGAGACAGAGAGACAGAGAGAGAGAGAAAGTGCCACACACTTTTAAGCCATCATCAGATCTCATGAGAACTCACTTATTATCACAAGAACAGCAAAGGGGAAATCCACCCCCATGATCCAACACACTTTTAAACTATCAGATATCATGAGAACTCACTCACTATCATGAGAACAGCAAAGTGGAAATCCGCCCCCATGATCCAGTCACCTCCCACCAGCTCCCTCCTCCAATTTGACATGAGATTTGGGCAGGGACACAAATCCAAACCATATCATATAACTTTGTAATGTATTTTGAAATGTGGTAGTGTGATGCCTTCAACGTTGTTCATTTTGATCAAAATTGCTGTGACTATTTGGGGTCTTTTGTGCTTCCATACAAATTTTAGGATTTTTTTTTCTATTTCTATAAAGAATAACATTGGAATTTTTATAGGAATTGCATCGACTCTGTAGATCACTTTGGGTAGTATGGACATTTTAACAAAATTTATTCTTCCAATCTATGAACATAAGATATCATTCCATCTATTTGTGTCATCTTCAATTTCTTTCATTAATGTTTTATGGTTTTTGGTAAACACATATTTCACTTTGTTGGTTAAATTTACTCCTGTATTAGTCTGTTCTCACTCTGCTATAAAGAAATACCTGAGACTGGGTAATTTACAAAGAAAAGAGGTTTAATTGGCTTATACTTTCACAGGCTGTACAGGAAGTATAGTGGCTTCTTCTGAGGAGGCCTCAGGAAATTTACAATCATGGCAGAAGGTGATGGGGAAGCAGGAGCGTCTTACATGGCTGGAGCAAGAGGAAGAGAGAGGTGGGGAGGTGCTACACATTTTTAAATGACCAGATATTGTGAGAACTCTATTACAAAACATGACCAAGGGGATAGTGCTTAACCATTTATGAAGGATCCACCCCTCCCCCACCAGGCCCCACCTCTGACACTGGGGTATTACAATTGAACATGAGATCTGGGTGGGGACACAGATTGAAACCTATCAGGGGAACCAGCCCCCGATAAGTCAACATAGGTTCTTTTCTATTTTCTCTAAGTGTCGGCTGGTCTGAGAAATAAAGGGAAAGAGTATGAGAGAGAAATTTTAAAGCTGGGTGTCTGGGGGAGACATCACATGTTGGCAGATTCCGTGATGCCCCCTGAGCCATAAAACCAGCAAGTTTTTATTAGCAATTTTCAAAGGGGAGGGAGTGTACGAATAGGGTGTGGGTCACAGAGATCATATGCTTTAAGGGCAACAAAAGATCACAAGGCAGAAGGTCAGGGTGAGATCACAAGGTCAGGGGGAAACTAGAATCACTAATGAACTTCCACATCCCACTGTGTACGCATTGTCATTGATAGACATCTTAACAGGGTTCAAGAGCAGAGGACCGATCTGACTAGAATTTGCCAGGCTGGAATTTCCTAATCCTAGCAAGCCTGGGGGTGCTGCAGGAGACTAGGGCGTGTTTCATCCCTGTCTACATCTGCATAAGGCAGACACTCCCAGGGCAGCCATTTTAGAGGCCCCACCCTGGGAATGCATTCTTTTCCCAGGGCTGTTAATTATTAATATTCCTTACTGGGAAAAGAATTCAGCGATATTTCTCTGACCCGTTTTTGGTAATAAGAGAAATATGGCTCTGTCCTGCCCAGCCCACAGGCAGCCAGACTTTAAGGTTATCTCCCTTCTTCCCTGAAAATCGCTGTTAATCCTGTTCTTAAGGTGCCCAGATTTCATATTGTTCAAACACACATGCTCTACAAACAATTTGTGCAGTTAATGCAATCATCACAGGGTCCTGAGGTGACATACATCCTCAGTTTACAAAGATGATGGGATTAAGAGATTAAAGTAAAGACAGGCATAGGAAATCACAAGAGTATTGATTGGCGAAGTGATAAATGTCCATGAAATCATCACAATTTATGTTCAGAGATTGCAGTAAAGACAGGTGTAAGAAGTTATAAAAGTATTAATTTGGGGAACTAATAAATGTCCATGAAATCTTCACAATTTATGTTCTGCCATGGCTTCAGCCGGTCCCTCCATTTGGGGTCCCTGACTTCCCACAACAGAAACCATATTAACTTCTATGTGTATTTGTTTTTAGATGCTATTGTAAATGGGATTATTTCCTAATTTTTAAAAGATAGTTGTTTGTGTACAGAATCAGTGGTATACACTGCTGATTTTTGTATGTTAATTTTGTATCTTGCAACTTAGCAGAATTTCTTTGCTAGTTCTAACAGTTTTTTGGTGGTATCCTTAGGGCTTTTTATATATAAGATTATGTCATCAGCAAACAGAGACAATTTCACTTTTTCCTTTTTTATTTAGATGGCTTTTTATTTTTTTTTACTTGCATAATTGTTCTGGCTAGGACTTCCAGCACTATGTTGAAAAGAAGTAGTGAGAGTGGGTAACCTTATCTCACTCTTGATCTTAGAGCAAAAACCTTCAACTTTTCACCATTGAGTATGTTAGCTGTGGGGTTGTCATATATGGTCTTAATTGTGTTGAAGAACATTCCTTCTATCTATATCTATGTCATTGTTTTTATTATGAAAGAATTTTGAATTATATTAAATGCTTTTTCTGCATGACTGAGATGATAATATGATTTTAATCCATCCTTCTTTCTGTTAATGTAGTATGCTACATTTATTGATATGTATATATTGAACCATCCTTGAATTATAGGAATAAATCTCAGTTGATCATGGCATATGATCCTTTTAATGTGTTGTTGAATTCAGTTTGCTAGTATTTTCTTGAGGATTTTTGTATCTGTGTTCATCAGGGATATTGACCTGTGATTCTATTTTCTTATAGTGTTCATATCTGGCTTTGGTATGAGAGTACGGCTGGTTTCAAACAAATGAGATTGGAAATGTTCTCTTCTCTTCATTCTTTTGGAAGAGTTTGAGAATTATTGCCATTAATTGTTTCATTGCTTGGTAGAATTCACTTGTGAAGCCATCTGGTCATGGGCTATTCTTTGTTGGGACTTTTTGATTACTGATTCATTTTCCTTGCTCATTATTGGTCTGTTCGGACTTTTTATTTATGCTTCAGTCTTGGTAGGTTGTCTATTTCTAGGAATTTATCTATTTCTTCTAGGTTATTCAATGTATTGACTATAGCTGTTCATAATAGTCCCTATGATCCTTTATATTTCTGTAATATGAGTTGTAATGTTTCTTTTTCATTTATAATTTTATGTATCTGAGTCCTCTTTTTTTCTTGGTTAGTTTAGCTGAAGAATTGCCAATGTTTTTTATCTTTTGACAAAACCAAGTCATAGTTTTGTTGACCTTTTCTACTCTCTTTATAGTCTCTGATTCATTATTTCTGCCCTAATCTTTATTTCTTTCTCATTCCTTCTTCTGACTTTGACCTTAGTTTATTTTTTTCTGATTTCTTGGGGTGTGAAGTTAGGTAGTTTATTTGAAGTCTTTTTTTTTCTTAATGTTGGTATTTATCACTATAAATTTCCCTCTTATAACTGCTTTTTCAGCATCCCATAAATTTGAGTATGTTGTATTTTCATTTTTATTTGTCTCAAGATATTTTTTTATTTCCCTCTTTGATTTCTTTTTTGATCCATTGGTTGTTCAGGAGTGTGTTGTTTAACTTTCACATATTTGTGAATTTTTCAAAATGTTCTTGTTATTTCTTTTTAGTATTATACCATTGTGGTTAGAAATAATACTTGATCTTAATATTTTTAAACTTGTTAAGACTTGTTTTGTGGCCAAATATGTAACCTGTCCTGGAAAATGTTCAGGTGCATTTAAGAAGAATATATATTCTGTTGTTTTGGGATGGAATGGTCCATATATGTCTGTTAGACCCATTTGGTCTATATTGTTATTAAGTCTGCAGTTTCCCTTCTGATTTTCTGTCTGGTTGGTCTATCCATTGTTAAAAGTGGGATATTGAAGTCTTCTACTATTATATTGCTGTCTATTTCTTCCCTTAGTTTTGTTAATATTTACTTTATATTTTTAGGTGCTCTAATGTTGGGTGCATATATAATTACAATTATTATATCCTCTTAATGGATTGATTCTTTTATCATTACATAGTGACCTACTTTGTTTCATGACAGAATTTGACTGAAATTAATATAAGTGTAGCCACTCATGTTATTTTTTGGTTACCATTTGCATGGAATAACTGTCTATCTCTACTTTCTGTCTACCTATGTCCTTCAGACTAAAGTGAGTCTCTTGTAGACAGCATATTTTTGGATCTTGTCTTTTAAATCCATTCAGCCACTCTGTTTCTTTCGATTGGAGAATTTAGTCTATTTACATTGTAAGTAATTATTGAAAGGACTTACTATTGCCTTTTAATTGGTAATTGTTTTCTGATTGTTTTGTAGATCTTTTGTTTCCTTCTTCTTTCTTGCTGTCTTTGTGATTTTTTGGGTTTTCTTAGTGGTACATGTTGATTTTTTTCTATTTATCTTTTGTGCATCTACCATAGGGGTTATTTTTGTGGTTAACATGGGGCTTACATAACCTTCTCTTTTTAGTGGATAACAACTTTAATCATATACAAAAACTCTACACTTTTATTTTTCTCCATGTTTTATGCCACAGTTTACATATTTTTATGTTGTGTATAAAATTTATATATATTAGTTTATATTAAATTATTATAGCTATAGTTTTAAAATCTTTTTGTATTTTAGCTTTTATACTAGAATTGGAAGTGAAATACACAGCACTATTACAATATTAGAGTATTCTGATTTTGACTGTGTATTTAACTTTCCCTATGAGTTTTATACTTTCATATGTTTTCTCTTTTCCTTCCTTCCTTCCTCTCTCCTATTTTCTTTCTTTCTTTTTCTTTTCTTTTCTTTCTTTCTTTCTCTCTCTCTCTTCCTTCTTTTCTTTTCTTTCTTTCCTTCTCTTCTCTTTCTTTCTTTCTTTCTTTCTTTCTTTCTTTCTTTCTTTCTTTCATCTTTCTTTCTTTCTTGTCTTGCTCTGCTGCCTAGGCTGGAGTGCAGTGGCATGATCTCAGCTCACTGTAACCTCTGCCTCCTGGGTTCAAGCGATTCTCCTGCCTGAGGGAGAATCAAGCAATTCTGCTGAGTAGCTGGGACTATAGGCACAAAATGGGGTTTCAACTTGTTGGCTAGGCTGGTCTCAAACTCCTGGCCTCAATTGATCCACTTGCCTTGGCCTCCTAAAATGCTGAGATTACCAGCGTGAACCACCATCTCCGACCTCATATGTTTTCATGTCGTACTTAGCATTCTTTCATTTCAATCTGAAGAATTCCCTTTAGCATTTTTTGTTAGGCAGGTCTTGTAGTGGTGAGCTCTCTGAGCTCTTGTTTGTCTGGGAATGTCTTTATTGCTTTTTCATTTCTGAAGGATACCTTTGCCAAGTACAGTATTTTTGCTTGTAGTGTTTTATTTCAGCACTTTGAATATGTCATCCCACTCCTTTCTGACTTGCAGGGTTTCTGTTGAGAAGTCCACTGTTAGCTTTATGTAGGTTCCCTTGTATGTGATGAGCTGCTTTTTTCTTGCTTCTTTCAAAATTTTCCATCTTTGACTTTCACAATTTTATTACAATATCTTGGAATATTCTTTTTTTGGGTTAATTTGTCTTGTGATTCTATGAGTTTCATGGATCTGGATATGTATATCCTTTTCAAGATTTGGGAATTTTTAGCTAGTATTTCTTTAAATAAGCTTTTTGTCCCTTTTTCTCTCTTCTCCTTCTGACACTGTCATAATTTATATATTTGTATGCTTGATGGTGTCCATAGTCCTTTATGCTTTTTCTTTTTCCTTTTTTGATCCTCTAATTGACTAATTTCTGATGACAGATCTTTGAATTCACTAATTCTTTCTTTTGCATGATTGAGTCAGTTGTTGAAACTTTTTATTGAATTTTTCTATCTTTTATAGTATTATTCAGCTCCAGGATTTCTGGGGGTTTTTTTTGTCTTTACTATGGTTTCTATTTCTTTGTTAAACTTTTCACTTTGTTCATGCATTGTTTTCCTAATTTTGTTTAGTTGTCTATTTTGGTTTTCTTGCTTCTCATTGAGCTTCTTTAAGATTATTATTTGAATTCTTTTTCATGCAGTTTATAGATCTCCATTTCTTTGGGGTTGGTTATTGGAGCTTTATTAGTTTCATTTGGTGGTGTCATGTTTACATGATCCTTTGTTATCTGTGTAGTCCTGCATTGGTGTCTGAGTTTATTCAGGTTTAGTTCTTTCCACTCAAATGTAATAGGGTATAGAGAATGGCAGAGAAATTTAGGGAGTTGTCAAGAGAATGGCTATAAAGATAGGTTATGAATTTTCCTTAAATGGGAAGAGAAATAAAGATAAAAAAGAGGCTGATTTAGTTAAGAAGTAAAGAGACCAAATATTCAGGTGCTAATGGGGTTGAAGAAATGTTATGTCGGGAATAGTCCAACAAGTAAGGTAGAAAATCAGAAAGGAGATGCTTTATGTAGTTAGTTTGGAGAATGGAGATTGGGCAGTTTTGTGATATTTTCTAGAGTGAGATGAGACTATGGAAGAGGGGTAGTGGCAGAGAAGGTAGTCGAGGTGGAAGTTAGTATAGTCTATGAATCATCCATGTGGACATTGAAATCTCCCAGGAATGTGGTAAGGATTGGGTGGAAAGGAAAAGCAGGTGCCAAAATCTTTGATGAATGAAAAGTTAGTAAATGACCACAGTAGGTATGTGGAATAGCTAAATAATATGAACTTCAAAGAAGGAAGAGTCTTCTATAGGAGGATAAGCAACAAGGGGAATTGAGAGGGGTATTATTTCTAGCTTAGGACTAAGGAGTTCTTGAACCATGAGAGAATAATGGCCACCTCTTAAGAAGACTTACAGGGAAGGATTTTTATCAGGGGGAGGCAGATTTCAATTTAAACCAAGAAGTGGGTTGAGGGGAATATTCCAAAGAGCATAAGAGATCTCATGTTTTCCAGGAGGGTCAATATTAAGTGAGGGTACAGCTAAGATTTGCTACCATAATCAGATCCTTCCATCTTTTCCTGACTCTTTGCTTAACATATGCCCATTTATTTATCGTTTTTCTCATTGTGAATAACCAAAGGAAATGGCAATGTGTAATTCGAATATTAGGATA